>NT_167244.2:530578-583167 GCF_000001405.40 Homo sapiens | reverse complement strand
GGCCAAAATGAAAATGAGCAAAAGTCTGCAAACAAATCCAAATGCCTAGTAAACACACAAACAAAAATGTCTAATAAGATAGAAAAAGCAAATTAAAAGTAGAGTGTGCTGTATCTGTCAGTATCCTTAGAGTAGTAACTCGTTGGATAAGTATGTAAAGCTCTGAGAGCTCATATACAAGGTTGGTAAGGGTGTAAATTGCTAAACCTACTTTGAAGAATGATTTCACATTATATCAGGAAGCTTTAGATGTCAAAGGCAAAAACATAATTTTTCAGAAATGTATAGTGGATACCTTTTAGAAACAGGGAAGTAGGAAAAGGAGCCTAGAGCTGCGCATAAAGGGAAATAAAATACGCTCATAAAGAATTATGCCTTTAAAAGTTATTGGACTCAAATCTTATGAACTATTAATGGTTATTGCTTTAACCATTATTATGAAGTATGAATTTCAGTTGCATTGTTTTTTGTAATCTTCCTTCTGAGGGTAAAAATCAAACAGAAAGAGTTATAAACGTAGGGATTCTGTTTATAATGCTATGACTTTTGGTCTCAAGTTGTGTCATGTGTCTTTAGGGAAAGGCTGGCATTCCTTCCCTTTCCTTTCTTATTCTTTCATTTTCTTTTCTTTCATTTATTTATTTCTTTCCTTTTCTTTCCATCCCATTCCTTTCCTTTTATTTTCCTATCTCTCTCTGTAAACATGTAAGAATGCATGCATATTCACTGCACTACTCTGGTAGTGTCTTACTGATATATCCCTGTCCATTTATAAATCAAAATAGAAAGCTGCTATAATTTAACAACATGGACAGCATTGAAAGGTATGGATAATAGGACAATTTTAACTCATGTGTTGATGTGATAATATATCTCATAGAACGTCAACTCAAGAAAGATATAAGACATGGCATAATGTGTTATGTGCATATTTGTGTCCCTGTTAGTATTGAAAAGTTATCATATTAAAAATGAACAAAGGGAAAAAGTGCATGAGGTGCCGGGAGTCTAGGAGAAACCAGGAATAAGCTTCCAGGTGTTTTCTTCCAGTGAGTTACATTGATGTGCTTAATTGTGCCATCAATGGTACGATAACACATGCAGAATAATGCCAACCAGGAAGTTCACTCAAGTTTGATGTAGAAGGTTTTTATGGGGGATCAGTCAGGTAGGCATACGGCACCTGTGTAACTGACCTCAGCTACTCAGACCCCAGCCCACCAGAGCAAAAATAGGCACCATAAATCACCTTGTTAGCATAATCTATCTGATCAAATTTATATTGTGACCCAATAAAACAAATTATTTTAAAAAAAACATTTTATTAGGCAGGATATTCAAAGAACTTAGAGCTCCTCTTCCAGGAGCCTGCCAAGGGCCAGTCCTGAATATAGGCCTTTCTTGGGAATATACAGGGTTCTGCAACACAGACATGAAAAGTTAACCCTTTTCTGCATAATGGTTGACTGATATATTTTGATATATCAGATGCGTTAGGTCTTTTGCAACTGAAAAAAAGAGAAGCAAAACTATATTCATAAAATAATATCGAATTTTTCCTTAAAATACCATAGTGGTAAAGAATGAAAACTTGGGGGCCAAACTGCCTTGAGTTTGAGTCCCAGGTTAGCTAGTAGTTTGCTAGTGACTGTAGATAAGTTGATTAGTGACCTGTGCCTTAATTTCCTTATCTTTAAAGTAGGAATATCAATATTATTTGCCTCACAAGATTTATTGTAAATGTTGAACACAATAATACCTTTGAAGCCTAGAATAATCCTTGGCATAAGTAGTACTTATTACATGTCATTATTATTATTATAGTTTTATTATACGCTAGCACAGGCATAAGAAAGCAGATCGAGAGATATGAGCAAAAAGTGTTCCAAAAAGTTAAAAGCGAAAAAACAAAAATAAAAAAACACCTCAAGCTATTTAGGCTATTTTATAAAGAGAGAAGTGTTATGATTTTGTTAAGATAGTAACATTAGGGAAACAAGGTGAGGGATAAAAAGAGAAGCCTCTGTATTGTTTTTACAAATTTTTTACAGGTTTAAAATTTCTCCAAAGTTTAAAAGTGAGGTAACATTGTATTCTATTTGAGTAGTAAGTATTAGAAAGCAGGGTAGTGCCAAGAATTGGGACAGGTGAGGAAATGACAGGAACACGTCTGCCCCGCTGGTAGGAGTGTAGCCTCATGGAAGCATTCTGGAGCACATTCTGGGTATAAAAATTCAAATTAAGTCTCTCATATATTGGACCTGAGCAATTTTGCTTCCAGGTATATATCCTAAATAAATCCTTACACAGGTCCATAACAACAGTTGTTTGGCATAATTTATGGTAATGGGGAATTAGAAGCAACCCAGATGTCCATCAACGGGAGAGCAGATTTGCGAAGGTTGAGGATGTACAACATCAAAAAAATGCAGTTTTTAGAAAAAGTGGGCTAGATGTAGACATTGTAACGTGATAGCTCTTAAAAGTAGTGTGCTGAGTGAAAAAAAGTAAGAAACTGAATAAGATTATAATGTAATACTATTTTATAGAATAAAATATCCTAAAACAACAATACTAATAGAAATTAAGAGCCCATAAAATGTTACACATGAAACTTATAATAATTGTTTTCCTTAGGGGGAATGGTAGTAGAAACAGACAGGAAAGAAATGTTTTAAATAAAGTAAGATGAGAGAGATCGTGCACATATTAATGAGGACAGGGTGCCATGAACTGATAAATGTAATGAACTCAACCTTCTGCACTTGAGATCCAACCACATAATAAAAGGAAAAAAGAAATAATATATGCAATTTTGTCTATATATATATATCAAAATTAAAATAGTGATAACCTCTAGGAATCACTATTAAAGAGGAAATTCTTATTTTAATGTTATTTCTACAACATTTGAAACAATTTAAGGAGCATGAAGTGTAATTTTTGTATTCAAAACTTAAAATGTGAATAATTAGTAATAAATTTAATAAAGGAACAAGACTGCCTCACTGAAAGCCATGTAACGTTACTGAAAGAAATTAAAGACCTAAAAAATGGGAAGCTATGTTGTGTTTATGAATTAAATGACTCAATATTAAGACTTCTATTTTCTCAGAAATGATCTATAGATTTGATGCAATCCTAATAAAAATGCCAGCATGCTTCTTTTTAGTACGAATTAACAAGCTAATTCTAAAGTGTATATGGAAATGCAGAAGACTTGGAAAATCAAAGCCTAGAAAATCAAAAGATTAGAGGCATTAAACTACCTGACTTCAAGAATTGTTATAAAGGGCACGGCGTGGTGGCTCATGCCTGTAATCCCAGCACTTTGGGAGGCCGAGGTGGGCGGATCACGAGGTCAGGAGATCGAGACCATCCTGGCTACCACGGTGAAACCCCGTCTCTACTAAAAATACAAAAAAATTAGCCAGGCATGGTGGTGGGCGCCTATAGTCCCAGCTACTTAGGAGGCTGAGGCAGGAGAATGGCGTGAACCCAGGAGGCGGAGCTTGCAGTGAGCCGAGATGGTGCCACTGCACTCCAGCCTGGGCGACAGAGCAAGACTCCGTCTCAAAAAAAAATCGTTATAAAGTTGCTGAAATCAGTATGGTATGGTATTAGTTAAAAATAAACACATAGATCAATGAAAAAGAATAGTAAGCCCATATATTGACAAGGTGCTAAGGCAAATCAATGGGGGAAAATAATGTCTTTTCAATAAATCACACTAAAAACTATATATCTGTATAGAAAAAGAATGATCATTAACACTCACTTTATACTACACTCAAAAATTAACTCAATAAGGATCACAGACTTAATTAATATAGAAGCTAAAACTATTCATTTTCTAAATGGTCACATAGAAAAATACCTTTATAATTTTAGGCCGGGCGCGGTGGCTCATGCCTGTAATCCCAGCATATTAGGAGGCCAAGGCAGGTGGATCATTTGAGGTGAGGAGTTCAAAACCAGCCTGGCCAACATACTGAAATCCCATCTCTATTAAAAATACAAACAAACAAACAAAAAAGACAGAAAGAAAGAAAATGAGCCAGCATAGCAGCACACACTTGTAATCTCAGCTACTTGAGAGTCTGAGGCACGAGAATTGCTTGAACCAGGAGGCGGAGGTTGCAGTGAGCCAAGATTGCACCACTGCACTCCAGCCTGGGTGACAGAGTGAGACCCTGTCTCAAAAGAAAAAAAACTTTGTAATTTTAAAGAAGGTATTTTTGGAAGATAGGACACCAAACATGAATTATAAAACACAAAGTTGATAGATTGAACTACATCAAAATTTTTAAAGTTTTACTCTCCAAAAGAACCTGATGGAAAAAAAAGACAATCACAGGAGATTAGAAAAAACATCTGTAATACGTGTATCTGACAAAAGATTTTTATCCAGTATATATACATATATACACACATATGTAAATGTCTTCATAATAGAAAGATTAACAACTTGTTTTAAAAATGGGCCAAGTGTCTGAGCAAAAACTTCACAAATGAAGACACACAAATAACTAATAAGTCCAGGAAAAGATGTTCAACCTTGTTGAACAGGGCAATACAAAATAAACTCATCGATATATATCACCATGAATGTGTTTAAAAAGCTAAAAGTTTTTCAAAACACCTGACAAGGTAGCCAAGATGGTCTTGATCTCCTGACCTCGTCATCCGTCCACCTCGGCCTCCCAAAGTGCTGGGATTACAGGCGTGAGCTACCACGCCCAGCCCTTTATAACAATTCTTGATTATCTAGGGAATATAATATGGAACAACTACTTTAGAAATCAGTGTGGGTGGCTGGAAAGATGGTGGAATAGAAACAGCTTCGGTCTGCAGCTCCCACTGAGATCAATGCAGAAGCCAGATGATTTCTGCATTTCTAACTGAGATACCCGACTAATCTCACAGGGACTGGTTAGACAGTGGGTGCAGCCCAGGGAGGGCTAGCCGAAGCAGGGTGGGGCATCGCCTCACCCGGGAAGCGCAAGGGGTCAGACAACTCCCTCCCCTAGCCAAGGGAAGCCATGAGGGACTGAGCCATGAGGAACAGTGCACTCCAGCCCAGATACTACGCTTTTCCCATGGATTTCGCAAACCACAGAACAGTAGATTCCCTTGGGTGCCTACGCTACTGGGGTCCTGGGTTTCAAGCACAAAACTGGGCGGCTGTTTGCGCAGAGACTGAGCTAGCTGCAGGAGTACAGCTAAGGCAGTGTTTAAAGGGAAATTTATAGCACTAAATGCCCACAGGAGAAAGCAGGAAAGATCTAAAATCGACACTCTAATATCGCAATTAAAACAACTAGAGAAGCAAGAGAAAACAAATTCAAAAGCTAGCAGAAGACAAGAAATAACTAAGATCAGAGCAGAAATGAAGGAGATAGAGACACACACAAAAAAATTCAAAAAATCAATGAATCCAGGAGCTGGTTTTTTTGAAATAATTAACAAAGTAGACTGCTAGCCAGACTAATAAAGAAGACAAGAGAGAAAAATCAATAGACACTATAAAAATGATAAATGGCATATCACTGCTGATCCCACAGAAATAGAAACTACCATCAGGGAATACTATAAACATCTCTATGCAAATAAACTAGAAAATCTAGAAAAAATGGATAAATGCCTGGACACATAAACCCTTCCAAGACTAAACCAGGAAGAAGTCTAATGCCTGAATAGACCAATAACAAGTTCTGAAATGGAGGTAGTAGTTAATAGCCTACCAACCAAGAAAAGCCCAGAACCAGACAGATTCACAGACGAATTCTACCGCAAGTACAAAAAGGAGCTGGTACCATTCCTTCTGAAAATATTCCAAACAATAGAAAAAGAGGGAATCCTCCATAACTCATTTTATGAGGCCAGCATCAACCTGATACCAAAACCTGGCAGAGACACAACAAAAAAAGAAAATTTCAGGCCAATATCCCTGATGAACATTGATGTGAAAATCCTCAATAAAATACTGGCAAACCGAATCCAGCAGCACATCAAAAAGCTCATCTACCATGATCAAGTCAGCTTCATTCCTGGGATGCAAAGCTGATTCAAATATGCAAATCAATAAATGGAATCTATCACATAAACAGAACCAATGACAAAAACCACATGATTATCTCAATAGATGCAGAAAAGGCCTTCGACAAAATTCAGCAGCCCTTCATGCTAAAAACTCTCAATAAACTAGATATTGATGGAATGTATCTCAAAATAATAAAAGCTATCTATGACAAACTCACAGCCAATATCATACTGAATGGGCAAAACCTGGAAGCATTCCCTGAGAAAACTGTCACAAGACAAGGATGCCCTCTCTCACCACTCTTATTCAACATAATGTTGGAAGTTCTGGCCAGGGCAATCAGGCAAGAGAAAAAAATAAAAGGTATTCAAATAGAAAGAGAGGAATTCAAATTGTCTCTGTTTGCAGATGACATGATTCTATACTTAGAAAACCCCATCGTCTCAGCCCAAAATCTCCTTAAGCTTATAAGCAATTTCAGCAAAGTCTCAGGATACAAAATCAATGTGCAAAAACCACAAGCATTCCTATACACCAATAATAAAAAAAACAGAGAGCCAAATCATGAGTGAACTCCCATTCATAACTGCTACAAAGAGAATAAAATACCCAGGAATACAACTTACAAGGCATGTGAAGGACCTCTTCAAGGAGAACTACAAACCACTGCTCAAGGAGAGAGGGCACAAACAAATGGAAAAACATTCCATCCTCATGGGTAGGAAGAATCAATATCATGAAAAATGGCCATACTGCCCAAAGTAATTTATAGATTCAATGCTATCCCCATCAAGTTACCATTGACTTTCTTCACAGAATAGGAAAAAACTACTTTAAATTTCATATGGAACCAAACAAGAGCCCACATAGCCAAGATAATCCTAAGCAAAAAGAACAAAGCTGGAAGCATCATGCTACCTGACTTCAAAGTATACTACAAAGCTACAGTAACCAAAACAGCATGTTACTGGTGCCAAAACAGATATATAGACCAACAGAACAGAACAGAGGCCTCAGAAATAATGCCACACATCTACAACCATCTGATCTTTGACAAACTTGACAAAAACAAGCAATGGGGAAAGAATCCCCTATTTAATAAATGCTGTTGAGAAAACTGGCTAGCCATATGCAGAAAACTGAAACTGGACTCCTTCCTTATACCTTATACAAAAATTAACTCAAGATGGATTAAAGACTTAAACGTAAGACCTAAAACCATAAAAACCCAAGAAGAAAACCTAGGCAATACCATTCAGGATTTAGGCATGGGCAGAGACTTCATGACTAAAACATCAAAAGCAATGACAACAAAAGCCAAAATTGACAAATGGGATCAAATTAAACTAAAGAGCTTCTGCACAGGAAAAGAAATCATCAGCAGAGTGAATAGGCAACCTACAGAATGGGAGAAAATTTTTGTAATCTATCCATCTGACAAAGGGCTAATATCCAGAATCTACAAAGAATTTAAACAAATTTACAAGAAAAAAACAAACAACCCCATCAAAATGTGGGCGAAGGATGTGAACAGACACTTTTGGGATTCTCCAGGTTCAAGCGATTCTCCTGCCTCAGCCTCCTGAGTAGCCGGGATTACAGGTTCATGGCACCACGCCCAGCTAAGTGTTTGTATTTTTAGTTGAGATGGAGTTTCACCATGTTAGCCAGGATGGTCTCAATCTCCTGACCTCGTGATCTGCCTGCTGCGGCCCCCTAAAATGCTGGGATTACAGGCATGAGCCAATGCCCCGGCCTGACAGACACTTTTTAAAATAAGACATTTATGTGGCCAACAAACATATGAAAAAAAGCTCATCATCACTGGTTATCAGAGAAATGTGAATCAAAACCATAATGAGATACCATCTCATGCCAGTTAGAATGGCTATCATTAAAAAGGCAGGAAACAACAGATGCTAGAGAGGACGTGGAGAAACAGGAACACTTTTACACTGTTGGTGGGACTGTAAACTAGTTCAACCATTGTGGAAACAGTGTGGCGATTCCTCAAGGATCTAGAACCAAAAATACCATTTGACCCAGGAATCCCTTTACAGGGTATATACCCAAAGGATTATAAATCATTCTACTATAAAGACACATGCACACGTATGTTTATTGTGGCACTGTTCACAATAGCAAAGACTTGAAACCAACCCAAATGCCCATCAATAATACACTGGATAAAGAAAAGGTGGCACATATACACCCATGGAATACTATGGAATACTATGCAGCCATAAAAAAGATGATTTCATGTCCTTTGCAGGGACATGGATGAAGCTGGAAACCATCATTCTCAGCAAACTAACACAAGAACATAAAACTAAACATTGCATGTTCTCACTCATAAGTAGGAGCTGAACAATGAGAACACATGGACACAGGTAGGGGAACATCACACACTGGGGCCTGTTTGGGGGTGAGGGGGTAAGGGAGGGATAGCATTAGGAGAAATACCTAACGTAGTTGACAGGTTGATGGGTGCAGCAAACCACCATGGCATGTATATACCTACGTAACAAACCTGCAAGTTCTGCACATGTACCCCAGAGCTTAAAGTATATAAAAAAAAGAAAAAATCTCATGTGGCAGATTAAAGAAAAAAAAACTTACTAAGGTATATGCATATGTAGATATTATAACCATTAATTCAAAAAAGTCCTATAAAAACATTCCCCATTACTGAGCAATTGCTTATTCCCTTTGTCATTAAAACATGCACTTTGATTTACTTCAAAACTGAGGGGACTAGTCCAGTTTTGTACTCTTGTAAATTATGAGTCTTTCTTGAAGAAATCTGCAGCATTACACAAAATTGAATCAGATATTCAGATTCACAAGATTTGTGCCTCCTTATCTCACACATTCATAAGTTGGAACTCTTCATTTGCAGTTTATCTATATTCTGTTTCATGGAACTAGGGAGCATCCCCTGCCTAACTCTGTAAAACCAATTTGTCAAACTCTTGTACAGATCAGAAAAGTAAAGGAATTAATATAAATACCTCCAGTAATAGGGATGCACAAGGGTGATGACAATTTTATTAATAGATTATAGTAGTATATGCTTATATTTATAGATTATACACATCACACACACACATAAACATACACACTCACATTTGGGTAATAATGCATTTGCCATCAGTAAGGAACATAAATGACCTTATTGTTTGAGTCAGACAAATATTAATTTGAATCAGAGCTTAACTACCATTTATTTGAGAAATCTCAGGAAAATTAACTAATCCTTCCTAAATTTATTGTTCCTATTGGCAAAATGGGGACAATATGTTATAGCTAGAAGAGTTGTTTTCTTGAGTCAAAAAAATGTATATATATAAAGCACTTGATACTTACTAGGGGCTGAATAAATTGTTGAAATCACCACTGTAATAATAGTAAAAGAACTTAATATGAATACTTAATATGGATAGAAAACTAGGAGGCCCACTGGAAATACCATATATGCACCATAATATTAACCCAGTTAGCTTCATCTATCTCCAACCTTATTTGTTAATAACAAGTTTTAAATTATACAGGCCAGACTCCAAACTAATTGTCTTTCTCCTTCATTTCAGAAAAATTTTCCAAAGATGACTTAAAATAACACTTGAATTGGAGGGAGGAAGGAAAGCTAATATTATTAGAGCACAACATCTTAAATTTTAAAGAATTATATTTGAGAGGAATATATACAATAGACAGCTTGGAAGAGCATTCTGGGTAGAAATAAGATTCACCTCTCTTCCAATCTGAAACATAATAACAATGCCTTTCATTTGTATGGTTCTTCAGAGTTTAAACATGGCTTTTAAGCACATTTTTCTCTGAGGAAGCTCTTCCTTTGACAGCATCTTCCTCAGTGCTGCCTTCATGGAATCATTCCGTAAGCTATAAATGACTGGATTGAGTGTTGGAGGTATCACAGTATAGAATACGGAGAATACAAGGTCCACAGTCGATGAGGAATCAGAAGGCAGTCTGAGAAACTCAAAGCCTGCAGCTGAAAGAAAGAAGGTGGCTACAAATAGGTGTGGTAGGCAGGTGGAGAAGACCTTGGTCCGGCCCTCAGCTGATGGGATTCTCAGCACTGTAGAGAAGATGCGAATGTAGGAGAGCACAATGGAGATCAAACAGATAAATGCTGCAGACGTTGTGAATGCAGCCAGTGCAATCTCATTAATGAATTCATAAGAACAGGCTAGTTTCAGCATCTGAGGAACATCACAGAAGAATTGGTGAATGACTCTCTTCCCACAGAGAGGTATGGAGAAGTTAATGGCAGCATGCATGAGCCCAGAGAGGCCCCCAGCAATCCACACAGCTATCACTGCATGCCTACAGGCACGGGGATCCATAATAGTCTCATAATGAAGTGGTTGACAGATTGCTGCGTACCTGTCATAAGACATCACTGTGAGAATGGCCACTTCTGATGAGGCCAGAGCTATGAAGAAGAAAACCTGAAGAATGCACTGAACAAGAGAAATGTAACCGTTGCCCATAAGTGAATTTGCAATGGACTGGGGGACTGTGACAGAGATGAAGCAGAGGTCCAGAAGAGAGAGGTGCTTTAAAAAGTAATACATGGGGGAATGGAGACGACGGTCCACGGTAATGATGGTGATAATGAGGAGGTTGCCTGTCAAGGCCAGCAGGTATGTCACCAGAAATACCAATGCATGTAAAATCTGAAGCTTACGCTCATCAGAAAACCCCATAAGAAGGAATCCACTCGTTGAAGTCAAATTGACCATAGTCTCTCTGAAGATACCAAGTGTGACTCTGTTTAGGAAGCCAAAGACAGTAGGAAGAAAATGCATGACATCTAATATATTTGTGTGTCAAGTAACTCAATTCCTCAGCATGGAGGTATTGAAATGAGATGAATTTATTTTCATTGCGATTAGTTAATATTCAATTCAAAAACGTTTTAGCAATTATTCAGAAATAGAATCCCTGAATGTGATCAACAAGTCATAAACATTTTCTGGAGCAGAGTTTGCATTGTCAAAGAGGGAGAAATTGATGGAAATGATAAAGTCTTTACCTTCAATAAAGTCAATGAAAATGATTCTAGCATACCAATCTCATTACATCTTCTATATGATGCCTTAGTATTACAACGATGCACTATATAGCTTCTTTTGCTAACCAGCTAACATGAAGTTATTGATACCACCTTGCAAATGGATCTAGAAACAGCTCAGAGGCAGATCTAGAAACAGCTCAGAAGCTAATCTAGAAGAGAGGTTAGCTCAAAGAACAGTCATATTTTTTCCTTTGAAAAGCTCTTAACACTTTAAAAAGATTACATTTGATTGTAATAAACTTTTCATAGAAATTTTGAAAAATGAAATGTCTCAAAATTGTAAAATGCAGATGCCACTGATATCAGGCATTGAATCCTGAGCTTTGGAGATCTTGCAACTAAGTGACAAAGGTTCACCGTCAAAGAACGTTTAATTCTCAAAATTCTTATGACAACTTGGGGTTGGACATTTTCAATCAAATCCATTTGAAGAAATAAAGAGATTTTCTAAAATCTATGTGATAGGCAGAATGCTAGGTAGTAGAGTATATATCTTTCTAGTGCTGTGTCTCATTGTGAGTTCCTGAATGAAAAAATATATATATATATTTCTTTCTAGGACTTGAAATATATTAGATAGTGGGAGCCCATTTCTTAAAATAACCAACCAAACAAAAAAAAAATCTATACCAGATGTAACAATTGTTAGGAGGATTAAATGATGTAACTTTTCCTATTTCATTTTAAATGTGCTATTATTATAGAATCAACACCATCATAGAATTATTTTGTGTATCAGAATCACTCTGCTAACTAATTTTTGCCTCTTTTTTTTCTTTTTAAATCTGTGCATTTGTTGAAAGGTCAATCAGTATCATTTTCACTGAGTTTCTTCTGCACAAAGACTATTCCTTCATCATTTCTGTCCATTTCTTCACCCTTGACCAAAGGCATCTAACATATAGGTTCTAAGTAAATACTTATTTAACGGGATATCTACATAATTGATTTCAGTTCTATATAGACAAAAACTTAATGGCTAAGTTACATGAGTTAATGCATCTGATTTTGAAGTAACTGCATCTGATATTGTAGTTTGTTTCATTTATTAATCCCTAAGCTGTAGGAAAAGGTTAAAAATCACTTAAACCAAGATCTTTTTGATTTTGCTGTAATTTATTTTGAGAACTGACTGAAACTAATTTTTAGGAAATTTTTTTTTTCCACAAGGAACAGTCTCAGGGCTGGAAGGGCCCTTAATCCCTCACTGATGGTCACATCCCCTGCTTCATGGCAGTAGGAATCAGAGGAAAACAGGGGTTACTTTCTTCAAAGTTTCTCTAGCTTTCTTGCTCCTACAGTTTTCCTGGTCCTCCATAAGATATAGCTTAATCCCCAGTGCTGCCAATCTTAATGCCTGGCTTAACTTGCTCCAAATATTGGATGGTAGTTTTGGAATTTAAAATAAAATGTGAATAGATGAAAGCAATTCACTTATATTTTAAAACTTACTGTCTCTGGCTTGAAAATCAAAAGCATCGTGTTACTTACCACTTCTAATACACATTGTTAATGTAATCTAAGAAAAACCTCTATCATTTAGCCTCCCCATTAAGGTTTCTCCATAGAGGGAAGGAGGAGAAAAATCGTAAGAAAAAACTTGAATGCACACACCATATTCTCCTCTCAACAACTCCCACCAACCTATTTTCATTTTTATTTTCTTTGAAGACATAGATAATAATTTTTATATCTGATTAATAAATGGAAAATTTCATCATTTTAATTTCACTAGTTCCAAATTGTATTGATTAATTCATCACTTATCAAATAAGAAGGAAGGGAATCATATACGTGTGGAGATACTCTTAGGATTAAGGATGATACTGCGAGAACATATAAAACCTGTGTTCAATCCTTCCAAGTCATACCTGCATTAAATACTTTATTTATAATAAAACTAAACATTTTTTGGTGGAGAGTATAATGATTCTTTCAATGTCATTTGTTTCCCCCAAGCATTTTTTTCTGTCTTCACTAACCACTTGTATGCAAATTTTATCCTACAAAACATTTCTAAACTTTTCCGTTTTTTACCTCTCATATGTTGAAACCCTCAATTTTTTTGAAAGTAGTTCTCTTTTAGGTTCAGTGGTACATGTGCAAATATGTTATGTAGGTAAACTCTAATTCATTCCAGTAGCTGCTCTAAAGAGTTAGCATCCTGTGTCTCTTCTTCACTATTTTCCTCTATTTCCTGGGAGGTAGCATTGCCAATAACTTCAATGAGAAAACATAGGTAATTATATGTTAAGCCCCTCAGTTTCCTACCTGTATATAAACGAAATGATCTCTAACATGATTTAATTCCACCCACTCTAGGGTTTCAAAGGCAGAGAAAGAGCTCTTTTTTCCTTTCCAAGTCAGTGACCAACCCTATACTCAACCTTGCTCTATCGCAAAGGGCATCTTTGCCACAGTATGCACTTGCTCTCTCTCTCTCTTTCATAATAGTGCACATTTTATGTGTGTGTGTGTGTCTGTATATGTGTGTGTATAAAATCAACACAAACTCCATGTCTAAAAATTCTAATAATGTTGATTTACTGAGATTACTCTTAATGAACCAGATTGTTTCACTATGCTCTGTTGATAGATGATAGATTAGAGATAGATAGATGATAGATAGATAGATAGATAGATAGATAGATAGATAGATAGATAGAGATAATCTTAAGACTCATCCATTTTAAAGAAAAAGAAAAGTCTTCACTCCACACTTAGGACTTACTTATAATGTCCCTTCTCTTTACAGCCATGCTTTATGAGCAGAATAGGGTATCATTCTGTGCCCTGGCACATTTGGTTCAATTCTTGAACCATGTTAATCATTCTTGCTTCATGAGTCCTCACAAACAGCTCCAGCAAATCCACAAATAACTATCACAACGGTAAATTCAATGCACTCTTTCTATTTTGTTTTTATTTTAAATTTTGTTTCTCAAATATATGACACTATTATACAGTTCTTTCTTCTAAAACAGCTGACTTCCATTGGCTCTATGCCACTTAGTTCTGGTTTTCTATTTCCTCTCTGAATATTTTTTCTTAGTCTCGTTATCTGGGTCTTCTTTTAACATTTATTGAAATTTGATGGTTTCCAAAAATTTGTCCTGACACTTTCTTTCTGTACTTTTGTTTACTCAAAAATATTCCTGTGCCTTTTAAAGAAGACAGATTAACTATTTTCCTACACAATAGAAAATAATAGTCTGCTGTTTCGAGCACTACCATAGGTCTTCTGGGTTGCAGGTCCCCTGGGTTGCAGGTCCTCATATCCTGCTTCACGGTTGGCACATCACTGTCCCTGAATGGGTCTTTCCCATAAGGACTCATCTCTTCTCCCAGACATCTCCCTGTCACTGTGACCTATTTCAAAGAATGGCACAACTTTGCTTTAATCTGTATATCCAATCAAACACCAAAATTTTATTTGCTTACTATCTGTTGTAGTTATTACATCTTGCTGTCACACGTACAGATTAGTTCAAACCTTCATTATCTCTGGCAATATTTTATTCTTCAGTTTTATGTATTTCTAATCCAACTTCAATGCTGTTGCCAGGACAAATGGTGATGCAGATCACATCTTGTAACATTAATTTAGCTTTTAGCTCTTTATTGACTTGATTATGCAATGATGCCCAAAAAGCTTAGGATGGCAAACAATATCTTTACAATGCTTCCTGACTGCCATTCCAGTATTATCTATCATTGTGACTTCTCTAACCCCATGCCAATCTCCATGTCTAATAATGGCGACTGACTTAATTACTCTTAATAAATCAATCAGGTTGTATCACCATGCTGTGTTTCTTTTCTTAAATCACACTATCCCTCCTGTCTGGAAGTCCTCCCATTAGAATTGCCCCTCATGGCTGAGCACGGTTGCTCACACCTGTAATCCCAGCACTTTGGGAGGCTGAGGTGGGCAGATCACCTGAGGTCAGGAGTTCAAAACCAGCCTGGCCAAAATGGCGAAACCCCATCTCTACTAAAAATACAAAAATTAGCCGGGCACGGTGGTGGGCACCTGTAATCCCAGCTACTAGGGAGGCTGAGGCAGGAGAATTGTTTGAACCCAGGAGGCGGAGGTTACAGTGAGCCAAGGTCGCGCCACTGCACTCCAGCCTGGGTGACAGAGCGAGACTCGTCTCAAAAAAAAAAAAAAAAAAGAAAAAAAAAAGAAAAAAAAAGAAAAAAAATCTCCCCTCATTTGTTTGGCAAATACTTAACTATCTTTTAACACAGCTACATTGTCTCTTTCCATTTATAATTCACCTGAGTTTAACTGTCGACCCAAGAAGAATTGTCACTCTTTGGAGCCCAGATTGCATTCATTTAAGATTCCTTATAATTTATACTAACTTTTTTATGCTTTATATACTTTTTTATAATTTATACTACCTTATTTGCATAGATATCGCAGCTTATTTAAACTGTTCTTAGTTAAGGAGTGAGAAATTATGTATCTTATTTAGAGTTATAACTTTGAAGACTCGCATAGTCGCTGGCACTAAGCAGGTGCTACATAAATGTTGGATAAATTCCATAAAATTTGAAGAAGTTTTACTCACCAGAGTGGATCTCTCGGTAGAAACAAATCTCAATTGATCCTGAGACTGAGCATCTTTGTTCTAGAATCAAGCTGGTGTTTCAGTCAGTGAAATTTCCATGTAAGGAAAGGACTGAAACGCTTTTATATAGGACCAAACAGGATGTAACTGCCCAGGGACATTTAAATTTCCTATTAACTAAGGGGTATTTGAAATGAAGCCAGTGCTGTCCAGGCACTGGGGACAAAAATCCTGTGCAGGAAAGTTGGTGTTTCAGATAAAAACTATGAGTTCAAAGCAGGGGATTTCATGGACCTCTCCCTCAGGGAATTGCCTCAGTGGGAAGTAGTTAATTATTATCTTGGTTTAGCTAACTCTTGTAGTCGATGCATTTCAGGTTAAAAAAATGAATATTATACATAACTCGTTTTCTGTAACACAGGTTCACAGGTTTTTCTAGTAAAAAGGATTTTTTTCATTAATTAACAGTTTCATTTTAACTGGTCACCAATAAAATCATGCATGATTGCACTGGCCTTATGTAAAAAAAAAAAGGAATACTTAGTAATTATTTACATAAACCCAGACATAATAGTAGAATCAAAGAATCTCAGAATAAAACCATGACTTAGAGAGCTAAACTTTCTTCAAACATGTTGTCTTTTCTAAAATTACTCTGAAACTGATAATCCAGCCCTCATTTTAACAATCCCCCAGATGAATAATTTTTACTCAAAAGTGAATGAATTCCATTCTTAAATATGTGTGATTATGGAAAAGGCATTTTTTAAAATTATACTTTAAATTTTAGGATACATGTGCACAACGTGCAGGTTTGTTACATATGTATACATGTGCCATGTTGGTGTGCTGCACCCATTAACTAGTCATTTAGCATTAGGTATATCTCCTAATGCTATCCCTCCCCACTCCCCCCACCCCACAACAGGCCCCAGAGTGTGATGTTCCCCTTCCTGTGTCCATGTGATCTCATTGTTCAATTCCCACCTATGAGTGAGAACATGCGATGTTTGGGTTTTTGTCCTTTGTGATAGTTTGCTGAGAATGATGGTTTCCAGCTTCATCCATATCCCTACAAAGGACATGAACTCATCATTTTTTTATGGCTGCATAGTATTCCATGGTGTATATGTGCCACATTTTCTTAATCCAGTCTATCATTGTTGGACATTTGGGTTGGTTCCAAGTCTTTGCTATTGTGAATAGCGCCACAATAAACATATGTGTGCATGTGTCTTTCTAGCAGCATGATTTATAATCCTTTGGGTATATACCCAGTAATGGGATGGCTGGGTCAAATGGTATTTCTAGTTCTAGATCCCTGAGGAGTTGCCACACTGACTTCCACAATGGTTGAACTAGTTTACAGTCCCACCAACAGTGTAAAAGTGTTCCTGTTTCTCCGTATCCTCTCCAGCACCTGTTATTTCCTGACTTTTTAATGATTGCCATTCTAACTGGTGTGAGATGGTATCTCATTGTGGTTTTGATTTGCATTTCTCTGATGGCCAGTGATGATGAGCATTTTTTCATGTGTTTTTTGGCTCCATAAATGTCTTCTTTTGAGAAGTGTCTGTTCATATCCTTTGCCCACTTTTTGATGGGGTTGTTTTTTTCTTGTAAATTTGTTTGAGTTCATTGTAGATTCTGGATATTAGCCCTTTGTCAGATGAGTAGGTTGCAAAAATTTTCTCCCATTCTGTAGGTTGCCTGTTCACTCTGATGGTGGTTTCTTTTGCTGTGCAGAAGCTCTTTAGTTTAATTAGATTCCATTTATCAATTTTGGCTTTTGTTGCCATTGCTTTTGGTGTTTTAGACATGAAGTCCTTGCCCATGCCTATGTCCTGAATGGTATTGCCTAGGTTTTGTTCTAGGGTTTTTCTGGTTTTAGGTCTAACATTGAAGTCTTTAATCCATCTTGAATTAATTTTTGTATAAGGTGTAAGGAGGGGATCCAGTTTCAGCTTTCTACATATGGCTAGCCAGTTTTCCCAGCACCATTTATTAAATAGAGAATCCTTTCCCCATTGCTTGTTTTTGTCAGGTTTGTCAAAGATCAGATACTGGTAGATATGTGGCATTATTTCTGAGGCCTCTGTTCTGTTCCATTGGTCTATATCTGTTTTGGTACCAGTACCATGCTATTTTGGTTACTGTAGCCTTGTAGTATAGTTTGAAGTCAGGTAGTGTGATGCCTCCAGCTTTGTTCTTTTGGCTTAGGATTGACTTGGCAATGCAGGCTCTTTTTTGGTTCCATATGAACTTTAAAGTAGTTTTTTCCAACTCTGTGAAGAAAGTCATTGGTAGCTTGATGGGGATGGCATTGAATCTATAAATTACCTTGGGCAGTATGGCCATTTTCACGATATTGATTCTTCCTACCCATGAGCATGGAATGTTCTTCCATTTGTTTGTATCCTCTTTTATTTCATTGAGCAGTGGTTTGTAGTTCTCCTTGAAGAGGTCCTTCACATCCCTTGTAAGTTGGATTCCTAGGTTTTTATTCTCTTTGAAGCAATTGTGAATGGGAGTTCACTCATGATTTGGCTCTCTGTCTGTTATCGGTGTATAAGAATGCTTGTGATTTTTGCACATTGATTTTTTATCCTCAGACTTTGCTGAAGTTGCCTATCAGCTTAAGGAGATTTTGGGCTGAGACGATGGGGTTTTCTAGATATACAATCATATCATCTGCAAAGAGGGACAATTTGACTTCCTCTTTTCCTAATTGAATGCCTTGGAAAAGGCATTTTTGAAATCATGATAAGGACACTTAACATAAAATCTACCTTCTTAGCATTGAAAGAAAATTTTTTAAAACTTTTAATATCAAAAATTTAATATATTGTATATTCTACTTGGCAAATGTTTAAAAATAGCTCTAAGTTCCCGTGTGTGTGTGTATATATATATATATATAATGTATATGATTTATATTATGTGTATTATATATATGAATTATATATATAAATATAAGAAACTGAATTGTAAATGTTGCAGACCAATAAACTTTATTTTGATCTCCAGTGACAAATATAGTACCACATTAAGTACCACAATATGGTGTCTCAGTAAGGATCACACGTTTTCATAAGGCTGTTTATGAACAATAAGAGACAATTAATGAATGATTAAAAAATACTCAGGTTTTTTTCATTTTGAGGAAAGAATTTTCTATTTTAACATTGACTTTGATTGTGATCTGATCAATGTTTTTGTAAAAGCTTTGGATACAGATGGTAGGTGGATTCAATATTATACATGGTGGTTAGTAGACAAATAATCCAAAAATTTCAACATACAACAATAATGGATAATTTAGAGAAAACTGTGGGATAGTTCAAATAGGATAAACTTTAATAAAATACTTTCCAAGATAAAGGCACATTAAAATTTGAGAGATGTGTGTTTTTCTTTTTTTTTAAGATTGATTAAATCTAATCAATACATGCTAAGAGCATCCAATGACAAAGAAATCAGTTACAAAAAGACCCTATAGTAATATTTCAATTGATGAGTAATATTTTCACTTTACTCTCTTCATCAGACCGAAACTGAATGAATCATTTCAGAATTAAATACATTAAGAAAATTGTAGACAAATGGATGTGTTAGCAAACAAAAGCAATTGTCATTCATTCCAATTACTAGAAAGCTCAGGGTGACCTATATTTTCAAATATTAAAAATGTTTGTCTTTTAAAAATAAATTTAAATTTATCTATGTTCCTAGAATCAATCTAGTAATAATGGTTATTAGTTATATTCAGATAGTTGTTTTCTCAGCATAAACAATAATTTTCAAAACCTGTTCCTGATGATACAGTAACTACAGACTGATATTAAGAAATATTTATTTATTTATTTTTTAAAGGAAGGGTTTGAATCCCTTACAAAAGTTTTGTGGAGACCTTTTTGAATTCAGTGAAAAAATCTAATTTTGATATTGTAAAATTCTTTTTCTTTTTTTTTCATCTACACTTTCAATTTCCAACTCCTGTGTCTATGCCTTTAATATTCTGACTCATAATTCATGCCATGAGGATGTTTTTCCACAACTCCTCTAGGATAAAAGAAAGCCTACATTAATTTATGTTAGTAATAATAACATTGGACAGTCTGAAACTGCTTGTGGCTTATATAAAAGGGGTTTTCCACTAGAAGTTTAACTCAGGCAGGGCGAGGTGGCTCATGCCTGCAATCCCAACACTTTGGGAGGCCAAGGCAGGCAGATCACTAGAGCACATGAGTTCAAGACCAGCCTGGGCAACATGGTGAGACCCTGTCTCTACAAAAAATACAAAAATTAATTTATCTATTATTTTCTATTTTATTACTTTCAATTATTAAATATTTTCTTTATTATTTTCTGGCTTCTACTGACATGGATTTATTTTTCTTTTTTTCCCTAGCTTTTTAAAATTTTCTATCCAGACCACAAAAAATTTTCTCCATATCAGCAATAAGACTGTTTTGCTATCTTATTTATGTGTTTACTGGAGTAGCGCATTTTAATTTTTTTCAATAACTTTTCTTTACATTCACAACTTGGCTAACTGGTGCAAAAGCCCTAGCTTCTGGCCTGTCTTGGCTTTTGATAGGCCTTCTTCACTAAGCTTAATCATTTCTAGCTTTTGATTTAAATAAGAGACATGTGACTCTTCCTTTCACTTGAATACTTAAAGGCCATTGTAGGATTATTAATTGGTCTCATTTCAATATTGTTGTGTCTTAGAAAATAGAGAGGCCTGAAGAGAGGGAGAGATGGTGGAACAGCCAGTGGGTGGAGCAATCAAAACATACATCATTTATCAATTAAGTTCACTGACTTACATGGGCAGTTTGTGGTTCCCTAAAACAATTACAATAGTAACATCAAAGATCACTGATCACACGTCACCATAACTTTCACCCGCGTCCGTGTGAAGAGATCACCAAACAGGCTTTGTGTGAGCAATAAAGCTTTTTAATCACCTGGGTGCAGGCGGGCTGAGTCCGAAAAGAGAGTCAGCTAAGGGAGATAGGGGTGGGGCCATATTATAAGATTTGGGTAGGTAAAGGAAAATTAGTCAAAGGGGGGTTGTTCTCTAGCGGGCAGGAGTGGGGGTCACAAGGTGCTCAGTGGGGGAGGTTTTTTGAGCCAGGATGAGCCAGGAAAAGGAATTTCACAAGGTAATGTCATCAGTTAAGGCAAGGACCGGCCATTTTCACTTCTTTTGTGGTGGAATGTCATCAGTTAAGGCAGGAACAGGCCATTTTCACTTATTTTGTGATTCTTCAGTTACTTCAGGCCATCTGGGCATATACATGCAGGTCACAGGGGATGCGATGGCTTAGCTTGGGCTCAGAGGCCTGACAATAACGATACAATAATAACGAAAAAGTTTGAAATATTGTGAGAATTACCAAAACGTCACATAGAGATATGAAGGGAGCACATGCCGTTGGAAAAATGATACTGATAGATTTGCTCATTGCAAGGTTGCCACAAACCTTCAGGTGCAATAAAGTGAAGCACAATAAAATGAGACAGGCCTATATTTGGTCGAACATCATTCTGGGTGTGTTTGGAGAGGTGGCTCCTCTCTGCAGGCAGGTCCCCATTGACTTCCCAGCTCTCAGCAGAGAGGATAGCTACTCTCTGCAGCTGGTCATCTCGTCATCTCTCAGTTGTCCTCTACCATGCTATTGCTGATCCTGGGGCTTTTATGGACCTCAGAGGGGAGGAAGTGCATATGGAGTGGTCCATCCGTGGCCATGGGTGGGCAGAAAAAGGCACCACAAGACCCCACTCCAGTCCACCGGTGTGGCAGCCTGACCCCCAGCCTTCAGGCTCTTCCTGGCCTGAGGATGGGGCCTTACAGGGACCCACTCCCTTCCACCTAGGAGCCCGTCTGCCTCCTGACGCCTTTCATGGTGCCAAGGGGCACCTGCAGGCCAACGCTTTGCCCGCATCCACTCTTGTCTGGCCCAACATCCAGAGGGGGCTGAGGTGGCAGGGCTCGATCATGCATATACCTGGCAGGGTTGTGACAGTGCCTGGGCTCAGCTCCACCTACTCCTAGATTGGATCAGTTGCAGAGAGTGGGAAGAGACCAGGCAGTAGGAGCAGGCACCTCTGAGCCTGCAATGGCAAAGGGGGCCTTCCCTGGCTCTCAAGAGCACACGGAGGCCCACATCTACTGTCTCCATTTGGACAGCTGCAGCTGTGCCTGGGGGTGTGGGGCTCCTGCCTGCTCCCAGCCCTCAAGAGCACATGGAGGCCCAAGTCTACAACCCTGACGTGGGTGGCTGCAGCCGCGCCCAGGGTGGGCAGAGCTCCTGCCTGCTCCCAGCACACAGGAGCCCCGGGTATACTGCACCGACTTTGGCGGCTGCAGCTGTGCCTAGTCGGGCAGGGGCTTTCAGGGAGGCCCTGGATAGAGCAGAACGCAGGCCCTGGGTCTGGCTGTCGGGAGTGGCAGGCTCCGAGGTCACCCTAACGCCTCGGGTGACCTGTATAGAGCAGACCCCAGGGGACTGGCCCTGGGAGGCCTGCACAGAGCCTCCTCCCAAGGCCCAGGAACTCCAGCATGCCAACTGCAGATCATGGGACTTCTCAATGTTTAGTGTACTATGAATTACATTCAGTGCTTTTAGGTATTATGTATATTTAAACGTTGTGGTTTTCATCTCTAGAAGTTTGATTTTTTAAAGTATCTTCCTCGTCTCTAAATTTTTGAACATATGGTAAACAGTATAATTGTTTTAATGCCATAACTTGAATCATTCTAACATATGTGTCAGTTCTGAGTCAGGTTTGATTTATTGATTTTTCTCCTTACATCATATTTTCCTGCTTTTTTTCATGCTTAGTAAATTTTCATTGGAAAATTTTCTTTTACTGGGTATATCTGTAATCCTATAAATACCCTTGAGTTTATTCTGGAGTGTTACTAAGTTACTTGGATACAGTTTGATACTTTAGTCACTTGTTTTGAAGATTTGTTAGGTAAAACCAGAACAGTGTTTAGTTTAGAGCTAATTATTGAAATTCTTGAAGCAAGACACTTTTGATTGCTAAACTCAATGCCTCAGGAATTCTTAGGTTTTCATTCTGGCACATAAATAGCTTGAGAACCCACAAAATTCCCAGCCTTTGCATAAGCATTGGGCACTATTTACCTTAATCCATTAAGTGGTTCTTTCCTCATTCTTGGATAGCTTCCTCACACACATGCAAATCAGCGCTCAGCTAAACTCAAGCAGGGCCCTCTCTCTGTGTATTAGTCCATTTTCATACTGCTATAAGGAAATACCCAAGACTGGGTAATTTGTAAAGAAAAGAGGTTTAATTGACTCACAGTTCCACATGGCTGGGGAGGCCTCAAGAAACTTACAATCATGGTGGAAGGTGAAGAGGAAGCACTGACCTTCTTCACATGGTGGCAGGAGAGAGAAGTGCAAGCAGGGGAAATGCCAGAGGCTTGTAAAACCATCAGATCTCATGAAAAGTAACTCACTGTCACGAGACCAGAATAGGAGAAACCACCCCCACGATCCAGTCACCTCCCTCCCTCAACATATGGGGATTACAATCGAGATGAGATTTGGATGGGGACACAGAGCCAAATCACATCATTCTGCAAGTCGTGAAAGATTTTTCTATGTTTAGCATTATCTTTTCTGACACTTTTTATGACAAATTCTGCCTTAGTCTGGATGCTCAGTTCTGCCTTTTTTATTTCTCAGTTTTTTTCAAAAGTTGTATTCCTTGATGTAAAGGTAAATGTCTAATTTTATTTCAGTGACTTGTACATAGTTGCCATCAATAAATATTTACCAAATAAAGGAATGCATTTTCATCATAAGATAAACCTCATCATAGCAACAGCTCATTTAAATGTTGCTGTTTATGTTGTTTTATAAGATATAACAAATAAATATTTTTATTTAATAATTTACTAATATTATTTTTAAATCATGTTGGGTAGTTAATCCAAACCAACAATATATAACTGTGATGAGAGTCAGAAAATTTCTATTATTTCTAAAAGTGTTGGGAATTATCCACTTCTCCTAGAATAAATATGATAGTAGACTTTGTTCTGATATAAATATTTTTACCTTATTGAATATGTTTTCCTACTGCTCCTATAGCACAGGGCCTATTTCTATTTAATGGCTTGCCAATTATTTGCATAATTGATGTAATATTTAGTAACTTTTAATATTTAATAACTTTACTAATGTTTTGGTAATACTTTCAGGAATACTTAAAATATTTCCTTATTAAACTTGTTCAACATTGCCTTATTTTGATTTGCTTGCTTGATAGTACAGGTACTATAATTTATTTAATGATATATTTAAATATATAGCCTTCCAAAATCTCAGGCAGCATACATGCAGAAATATTATACCTTTATAAAGTCAAAAATTTAAAACTGTTTAAAGATAAAATTTTTCTCTGGCATATCTGTAATAATGAAAGTGAATCAAAATATATTTCTAGGGCTTGGGGGACATATCTTGAGCAGCCACCCACATCAGCAAAACATTTCTCCAAGCACCCATATTTTAATTTAAAAATACATGTGATTTTCTCAACATAATATATCCATGTTTATTCCAATGCAACACAGTAGTTTCAATGTTCAATTATTTTGAGTTCTATTTATACTTCTAAGTTAAACAAACAAACTCAAGAATATGTTAACATTTTTATTAAATGACCACAAAAACCCCCAACATTCAACCTCTGAGAAATATACTGCTTTAATAGAATAAATAAATACAATAAGCGTTTTTTTCATAATACATATTAGGATGTATTTTATTTCATGCCAATAGCAGACTCCATGTATAAATGAACCATGGGTTGGGAAAAATACTGTGATCAAAAAAATGCATAATGTCTAGGATCCTTTTCCAGATTATACTAGAATTAAGGAAATGAACTCACTTTCTCTTATATAGCCACAGGCCTTCAAAAGTGTTCCCAAAAACCTTTTATCTGTGTTCCAGCTTCTCATCTGTCTCACCACCGGGAGCCACAGAAAGTGGACATGCTCACAGTACAGGAAATAGAGCTTTGCACTGTTCTTTTAATGATGTGGATTTTTTGGTGAACTCACTCTATTTTGTCTTGGTTTCTTCGGCTCATAGGTTTGTGAGGCAGTTTATAGCAAAAGGCTATAAAAGTCTTTTTTTTCTAAATAAAGATAATAGATCAACCAAAGTTTTGAATTCCACATGGTATTCTCAAACCCCCACACTGAAATAGGACTAAATTACCCAGTCAAGTGGTGAAGAAAGCTGCCTTGTCAAAACATGTAAATTCCCACTGAGTTTGTGTCCCTAAATTAGAATTTTTTCCACCTCAGGTTTTTCCCCTGCTGATCACTATCCAAAGCATCTCACTGTTCATCTTTCCCCCCAGAGTAAGTTCTATTTGCATTGACCTAGGCCTCATTGTTGTGTACCACAAGAGCATAAGATTGACTAAGGCAAAACATTTATGGCAAAAAAAATTTGTATTTAAAAGAATTCATGGCAAAAAAAATATATTTAAAATCATCACCTCTAAATTTGTTCATTAATTTCTCTTTCCATAATTCCATCTTAATGTTTTTGAACTAATTGTCTCTTGATTTTACTTGCCTGTGAGACCTTACAAAAGCATTTGAGGGTGATATAATTGGACATCGAATGTTAGAAGATGGCTAAATGGTGGCAATACATGTTGATCAAAATTACCTCACGATAGTACTGGCATGTTTTTCTAAGAGTTGGGATCATTTCTAATTTAATTGGGATTCATTTATAAACAATTTATGCTAAATATATTTCCTAAACTTTCTCAGTATCTTTTTCTCTAGCTATTATACCATTTTCCCTTACTTTAACTAGATTAGCTAGTCATTAGGAATAGGGAGAAAAAAGACTGACTTGATGGAATCCAATACTGTAAAGCAGATAGTCTCGTAAGTGAAAAAATGCTATGTAGATTTTACCAAGAGTTAATTGTTTTTTTCTTAGTCTTGTTCCACTTGTAAACTTTGTGTCACTTGATACTGTTCCCTCATCAATTCCATGTCCAACATCTTTTTGAAAGTCAAACACATCTATCCTCGCTTCTTAGGACTTCTTTTCAGATATCATCTTGTCTTAATCCAAAACTCTTTAGTCAGTGACCTTCTCAGGGCAGCTTTCACATCCTTGTTTCTCAATGTGTAGATGAATGGGTTGAGGGTGGGTGTGACAATGCCATAAAAGAGAGCCATGATCTTCCCCCGGTCATGAGAATAGCTAGAGGGAGGCTGGACATACATACTGATGGCTGTGAAGTAGAAGAGGGAGACCACCAGCAAATGTGAGGCACAGGTATTGAAAGCCTTCCAGCGACTTTCAGCAGAGCAGATTCTCATTACTGCCTGAGCAATGAACACATAAGTGCCCAGGATGAGGGTGAGTGGCATCAGGAGAAGCAAAGCGCCTAGTACATTGAGCTCCATTTCATTCACACGAATATCAATACAGGCTAGTTTCAAAAGGGCTGGAACTTCACAGAAGAAATGGTCCAACACCCTCTGTCCACATCTTGGGGCCACCACTGTGAGAGTGGACTGGACAAGGGAGTTAGCAAAGCCACTGATCCAAGTGCCAGCAGCCATGTGGATACAGCGTCTATGGTTCATGATGACTGGGTAGTGAAGGGGCTTGCATATGGCAGCGTAACGGTCAAAGGCCATGATGGCTAGAAGTATGCATTCAGTAGAACCCAGGGCCAAAAATATATAGAGTTGGGCAACACAACCCCCATAGCTAATGGTCTTTTCTGGTCCCCGGAGGTTGACCAGCATCTGTGGGACAGTGCTGGTGGTATAGCAGAGGTCCAGAAAGGATAGATTAGAGACAAAAAAGTACATGGGACTGTCAAGCTGGGGATCCAGATGGGAAACTAGGATAATGGAGATATTTCCAAATAGGGAAAAGATGTAGGCCACCAGAAAGATTACAGAGGGGTGTCTCTAGCCAGGGACGGTCAGAAAATCCCAATAGGATAAAATCATCTAGCGAGCTTTGATTGTTGATCCACATGTTAGCACTGGGAGGTGAAATTCCAGCTGAGACCTCTAAATACCCACAGTTAGGGATAGACATCAACAGTAGGAGGAAGCCACTGAGAATTAGAGATCAGAGATGCCAAGATGAAATTTTCATTTTTGCTCTAATCGGCATCTGTATCTTCATTACAGTAAAATATCATTTGCATCTACATCCTGATTATGATGAAATGTGGAGACAACATCATCAATGTAATATTGAAAGATTACTGAGAACAGAATAAATACCACACCAGCAACATAGTTGGGAATTTTGCTTATTTAATATATGTCTTCTGGTTAGCTATTCACTCCATTTGGGTTTTCATATCTTCTCTTCTAAAAAGTTTTAGTATACTACCATCAACTCTACATGCATGGATATGTAATGGTGGCAACAGAGTGTAGATTAAAATAGAAGGAAAAGGCAGAACTTCCCAAAAACAGGTCAAACGAAGGCCGGCATGAAGACTACAGGAGGATGTGCAGCCAGGGAGAACGAAGACATCTTGGCATGTTCATCTGCTTGGTACAGATCCTGGTCAGAAAACACCATAAGAACTGGAGCACTTTATAAAGTCTGCATGATAAAAGGATGGAGTGCCATGACTCGTTTTACCCCTTCCAAGCTTTAATGCTAGTCCTACTCAGAACATTTAAAAATAGGGAGAAAAAAGCCAAAAAAACAAACAAAATTACACACACAAAAAAACAATCAGTCCTTAGAAATTTGTTTGCTGTGAAAATGCAACTTTAAAAATATCTGGATACATTTGATGAAATTTTAATCTCTGGAAGAAATCACCAGAAAGAGTTTTAAATATGTGAATCCTTGAAATTTGAGGATGTATATGAATTTGTAATCTCTCAGCATCATTCTCAGCACATATAAACTTAATCATTTTCCCTCTCTCTCCCTTCTTTATTCTCATATTTTCTAATTACTGATACTATTTTTTCCACCAAAATTGCCTCTATCCTGCTCTTTGCCCATCCAAATTACACAATTCCTTTATCATATAATTTCTAAAGAATAACTCCAATTGCAAATTTTTCCATTCCCTACAATCCCAAATTTCTTTTTTTGTTTGACTCTTATCTTTTAGTAAATTTGTCTTGTGTTTTTCTCTAGTTGTTTTATAAAAGACATTTATAAAAGACTGGGATTTCCTCCAAATCCCAGTCATTCCATTCATTAGCTGTGTGACTTTGGAGATGTCATTTAATCTTTGTGTGCTTCAATTTTCTCATCTTTCAAATAAGCATAATTATACCCATCTCATAGAACTAGTGTACAAATTAAGGAATAGAGTGTACATTGCAAACATAGCTCAGTTCTTGTCATATACTAATAATTCAATGACTATTAACAATTATTATATACTTACCTAATTATGAATCCCCAGATGTATTACAGTTGTTTTATTTTTATGCATTTATGCAGTTTATAATGATATTTGTAACAATAAACAAATATTTATTAGAGGATAGTAAACAAAATGTGACTGCTCTGAAATCAGCTCAGGATCCTCTATTTACTTTTCTGATCCTCTCAGTTGCCCTATGTCATATTCTTCTTGTGATCCTGACTTAGTAGGGTTCATGTACTTAGTTGGCCAGCTCTATATTTCAAATCGTGTCATCTGAGTTACGGTATCCGTGTGAATGAAATGAGTGACAGTGAGAAATGATAGGGATAAAAACTTGCTTCACAGCTAAACATAAGAATCACTAAATTCAAAACTGATTTTAGTATCCATCCATTAACACTTCTAATTTCTTCATTTGCTTATAGAATAACAATTCTTTTGGTATGCAGAGGTCATCATTCTCTTTGAATTATAATTGCATACATGTCACGTAAGATGTCAGCTGGAGTAATTTCTTCTTCACCATTGTCTCTCAAATCTATCTATTAAATCTGTATCTATCTAAAAACATTAAGGCAGACATACAGAAAATAGTTCAGTGTCCCATGATCTCTAGCTTTCAAACTGGTATTCTTACTTACAATTGTTCTCTCATCTTCAAAACAACCTAGCTGGTTTGGAGAACAGTCTTTCCATCGTTAAAATGTGGCCATGTACATTTCAATTCAAAATTATTCAGTGGCTCTCCATATTCTGACACATTATATTAAAATGCAACCTTGGACTCAGGCCTCATATAACAATCGCTTGAACCATGCAGACATATTCACTGATCCAACCAAACTTGTGACCTTCCCCCTTGACCCCTTGTATTTATGCTGATGTGAAATGCCATTGTTGTTATGTATCCTGTAAGGATCATCTCAAATATAAAAATGTCCTTAAGTATTTCCTGCTCTCCTTTCTTACTGGTCGTCCAGAGCATTTTATTTGTAATTTCTTGATGATATACTCATTTATAAATATGACATATATACATGATATATATATATATACATGATATATATATATCATGTATATATGATTTGATAATTTTTTCATGATATACATATATACTCATATATAGATATATATCTATATATGGGAGAGATAGAGATTTTTTTCTGTCTTTTTTGTACTCGATATGTTTTCCTGACTATATCGATTACATACTCTTTGAAAAGAGTCAGCACGTGACTTTTAGACATAAGAGTATATGTTAAATATAATAGATATTTACTACATGTTAATCAATTTGAATTTAGTTGAAACCAGCAATCATGAAGCTTTTTCCTTTGGTGCTCTGATATGTTATTCCTAGATTACATTAGCATTTTGATATCATTATTTTTCACCTATGACCTCAATCAGTTTCACTGATATTTCATCACAACCAAACCCATATACATCATTTACTAATTCAGAGCCCAAGAGGTCAAAGCAGAGTTAAAATATGCCCCATTGGCAGTTTTAGGGTTTTATTGCTAATTCTCAAATTGATGTAACTAATTAACCAATAAATACATTTATTTTACTTACTAAAAATGCATGGACTTTAAATATGTCACTTCATACCCTTGTGACCTGGTTTGTTCAACCAGATCAAGAGAATTAAAATACTTGCATATAAACTCCATAGTACTTTAATGACAATTAAATGTATATTTCCTTTGTAAATTAAAAAAAAACTTATAAAAGACCACATATAATACAAAAGCAGTAGCTGCAATATTAGTAGGACTACTCACATGGTAAAATTACATAGAAGTGATTCTAGAAACTTCTGGGACGTCTCCTTTTTTAAACCTTGTCATTTTGTATCTCTATAATGCCACTCTTCATTCAAACTGGTGCTATCCAATTCCTTTCTTCTCCCATTTCTCACCTGGGACAGTGAGTCTTTAGGAATAGAGCCTTAAAAATATGATTACGGCCGGGCGGGGTGGCTCACGCCTGCAATCCCAGCACTTTGGGAGGCCGAGGCGGGCGGATCATGAGGTCAGGAGATCGAGACCATCCTGGCGAACAAGGTGAAACCCCGTCTCTACTCAAAATAAAAAAAAAAATTAGCCGGGTGTGGTGGCAGCCACCTGTAGTCCCAGCTACTCGGGAGGCTGAGGCAGGAGAATGGCGTGAACCCGGAGGGGGCGGAGCTTGCCATGAGCCGAGATCGCACCACTGCACTCGAGCCTGGGAGACAGTGAGACTCCGTCTCAAAAAAAAAAAATAATATATATATATATATAATATATATATATATATATATATGATTACATTTTGTATTGTATCCCCAAAGAAATGGAACACATATCTCTGCCAGTTGATTAGAAGATTATTATATGAATATATTTTGATTCAATACTGAGAAACAATTTTATCTTTACATATATATTTCTGAATCAAATTTTGCCTTATCTATTATGGTCAAAGGAAGACTTCTTCTGTGTTGTAGGATTTCTTATAGAAGAATACTTCTTAATCAGTATTCAAGTAATTCCTTGTCCAATTAAAATCCTAAAAAGACAATTTTGGAATGCTACCTTCATTCTGTCTGGATTGTTTTCTTGCTAGAGTCTCTTTCAGAATCTCATTTAGTTAGAACTCAGATAATGTTCTAAATCTGAAGAAAGCTGTGTTTCTTTTCCTACATTTCAAAATTAGTAATAACATTTTCACAATCTTTATATTTTTCTACTGCTTCTCTTCCAGTAGGCACAGCTATTTGTTTCTATTAAGTTCTATTAAGTACTATTAAGTTTCTGGGGTAAGTTTGGAAAGTTATGAATAAAATTAATTATATACTTTACCCGAGGAAAACAGTAAAGTTATTAAAGAAGTATATGTAGCCTGTTCCCCTGGTTTTCCATATACTTCATTTGTGCTTAAATATTGAAAATTTATAGGAAATAGAGGTAAAATGAGTAACAAGGAAATAATAGCAGCAGATAAACTCAGAAAGTAAAGAGAGAAGAAAAATGGAAAGAAAAAAATAAGACAGAAAAAAGAAGTACATAAAGATGGTAAATTTTTGTCTGATACATAGTAATAGTCACATAAGTAGCTGTCAAATATATGAATATAAAAAGAAATGGAAGAAAAATAGAAAATAAAAATGAAAGATCTAAGACTAAATTCAGTAATTCAGTTTAAATGTCTAGAAAGGATGCAGGGAGTTCTTGCCTTTCTGACTGTATAAGAATAATACGGAATTCGCCTAAATCAAAAGTTAAAAACAGGCTGATAATCCCCTTGAGGGTGAAAAACTGGAGCTGGGAGACAGAAGAATCTATAGATCTCTGGCAAATGGAGTGCACAAAAAAACGAAGGGTGAGCAGAGTAGAAGTATCTGACCACATGGTTTAAGAACACATGAAGCCCATTATTTTAAACGTTTACATCCTAATACACTCTTCATTAACTTTCTAAGCATGGCTCTAATATAATATGTTAATAAACAAAACTGAAACAATATTTAGATTTTCATTCTACCTGACTTATTTTATATACTTCCTCTTCATGTTACTTTGTAAGAACTTTTGCTATAGTTTTAATTCCATGCTATCAGATTCCCTTGTTCTAAATTGTCATAGATTTAAACAACTTTTTGTTGTTGTTTGTTTTTGTTTTTGTTTCTGTTCTGCCACCCAGGCTGGAGTGCAGTGATGTGATCTCAGCTCACTGCAACCTCCGCTTCCCAGGTTCACACGATTCTCCTGTCTCAGCCTCCAGAGCAGCTGGAATTACAGGTGTGCACCACCACACCCAGCTAATGGATTTAAACAACCTTTGATTATCTGAGTGGTAGGCCTTTCAGAGCTAAATTTTCTCAAAAATCAACATCTTAATAGCTACAATCTTTGTAATGGAAATAGCAGTTTCAGTCTAGAAAAGTGGTTAAAAAAAGGTACACCTAAAAATACTTAAATGAAAATATAAAGTTTCAAAGGTAAATAACATGATTGGTAACACATATTTTTCCATCAGTCTCCTAATAATAGAATAGTGTTTAACAAAGATTGGCAAACACCAGATAGTTCATATCAAATTTTCTATCCATAAACTTAAATTTTAAGTATATAATTGCTTTCATACAAGTATGTTTGTTTTCTTCTTATAATATGCCTCTAAAGAACGATTTTTTTATATAACAGAAGAGAGGAAACGCAGGCACCAAGAGGTTGTAGGACTTGCTCAAGTTTATAGATCTAGTAAATTCAGAAGAAAAGATTTGAATAATACAATATTTTGAATCCTACATCAGTATACTTTTCATAAGCTTATTGTTCTCTCAAACAAAAATGTATGTGGCTTGTAGAATAAACCTTTTTACATTTTAAAAAATTTTTATTTTATAGTTCTACTCCTGAGTGCTCCCTTCAGCCTACTCCACGAAGTGATGACAACTTTAATTAATATTCCCTCTCCAAATCCCTTCAACATTTACCTGATGCTGGGTTGTAATCCATCAGTTTGTCTGGAATGTGACATGGAGATACGGAGTCCTGGAAGACTGACCTGGGGCCCAAACATGATCCTCAAACCAGTTTGTTGTTTGAATTTCTTCTCAGCCCTCTTTAACATCAACCCAGCTCTCTCTGACCTACTGAAGGGTCAACCTCAAGAAACCAACTCCAACTGATGGCCATCCATAGAATACATAGCTCTTCAGGGAGCTTTCATGCCATTACTGCCTCACTCTCATACTTCCGTTTAAGCCTCCGAGATTCAAAATAATTAGCCTCTACTGCTGCCAACATGTCCAGGGAAAAATAACCAGAGGGACTAGAAAATGAGTATGCCACAGAAGAAATCAAGAAAATGTTTCTAACAAAATACAAACTTTGGGCATGTAAGTTTGGAGAGTCATCTAAGAAGAAAGAAAATTAATTCAAGCAAGACTAAATCTCATGGTTGCCAAGATGATTTTTTTCATTATACTTTAAGTTCTGGGATACATGTGCAGAACGTGCAGGTTTGTTACATAGGTACACACATGCCATGGTGGTTTGCTGCACCCATCAACCCGTCATCTACATTAGGTGTTTCTCCTAATGCACCCCACCCTCTAACAGGCCCCAATGTATGATGTTCCCCTCACTGTGTCCATGTGTTCTCATTGTTCAACTCCCATTTATGAGTGAGAATAAGGAGTGTTTGGTTTGCTGTTCCTGTGTTAGTTAATGAGAATCATGGCTTCCAGCATAATCCATGTCCCTGCAAAGAACATAAACTCATTCTTTTTTATGGCAGCATAGTATCCCATGGTGTATATGTGCCACATTTTCCTTATCCAGTCTATCACTGATGGGCATTTGGGTTCCAAGTCTTTGCTATTGTAAATAGTGCTGCAATAAACATATATGTGCGTGTGTCTTTATAGTGGAATGTTTTATAATCCTTTGGGTATATATCCAGTAATGGGATTTCTAGGTCAAATGGTATTTCTGGTTCTAGATCCTTCAGAAATCACCACACTGTCTTCCACAATGGTTGAACTAATTTACATACCCACCAACAGTGTAAAAGCATTCCTATTTCTCCACATCCTCTCCAGCCTCTCTTGTTTCCTGACTTTTTAATGATCACCATTCTAACTGGCATGAGATGGTATCTCATTGTAGTTTTGATTTGCATTTCTCTAATGACCAATGATGATGAGCTTCATTTCATATGTTTGTTGACCACATAAATGTCTTCATGCCTTCTTTTGAGAGGTGTCTGTTCATATTCTTCACCCACTTTTTGATGGGGTTGTTTTTTTTCTTGTAAATTTGTTTAAGTTATTTGTAGATTCTGGATATTAGTCCTTTGTCAGATGGATAGATTGCAAAAATTTTCTTCCATTCCGTAGGTTAACTGTTCACTCTGATGATAGTTTCTTTTGTTGTGCAGAAGCTCTTTAGTTTAATTAGATCCTATTTGTCTATTTTGGCTTTTGTTGCCATTGCTTTTGGTGTTTTAGTCATGATGTCTTTGACCATGCCTATGTCATGAATGGTATTGTCTATGTTATCTTCTAGAGTTTTTATGATATTGGGTCTTACATTTAAATCTTAATCCATCTTGAGTTAATTTTTTTATAAGGTGTAAGGAAGGGGTCCAGTTTCCGTTTTCTGCATATGGCTAGCCAGTTTTCCCAAAACCATTTATTAAATATGAAATCCCTTCCCCATTGCTTGTTTTTGTCAGGTTTGTCAAAGATCTGATGGTTGTAGATGTGTGGCATTATTTCTGAGGCCTCTGTTCTGTTCTATTGGTCTATATATCTGTTTTGGTATCAGTACCATGCTGTTTTGGTTACTGTATCCTTGTAGTATAGTTTGAAGTCAGGTAACATGATGCCTCCAGCTTTGTTATTTTTGCTTATGATTGTCTTGGCTATACGGGCTCTTTTTTGGTTTCATATGAAATTTAAAGTAGTTTTTTTCTAATTCTGTGAAGAAAGTCAATAGTAACTTGATGGGGATAGCATTGAATCTCTAAATTACTTCAGGCAGTATGTCCATTTTCACGATATTGATTATTCCCATCCATGAGCATGGAATGTTTTTTCATTTGTTTGTGTCCTCTCTTATTTCCTTGAGCCGTGGTTTGGAGTTCTTCTTGAAGAGGTCCTTCACATTCCTTGTAAGTTGTATTCCTAGGTATTTTATTCTCTTTGTAACAATTGTGAATGGGAGTTTACTCATGATTTGGCTGTTTGTCTATTATTGGTGTATAGGAATGCTTGTGATTTTTGCAAATTGATTTTGTATCCTAAGACTTTGCTGAAGTTGCTTTTCAGCTTAAGGAGATTTAGGTCTGAGACGATGGGGTTTTCTAAATATACAATCATGTCATCTGCAAACAGAGACAATTTGACTTCCTGCCTTCCTATTTGAATACACTTTATTTCTTTCTCTTGCCTGATTGCCCTGACCAGAACTTCCAATACTATGTTGAATAGGAGTGGTGAGAGAGGGCATTCTTGTCTTGTGCTGGTTTTCAAAGAGACTGCTTCCAGCTTTTGCCCATTCGGTATGATATTAGCTTTGGGTTTGTCATAAATAGCTCTTATTATTTTGAGACACGTTCCATCAATACCTAGTTTATTGAGAGTTTTTAGCATGAAGAGGTGTTGAATTTTATTGAAGGCCTTTAAAATAAACAACCTGACATCACAATTAAAAGAACTAGAGAAGAAAGATCAAACAAATTCAAAAGCTAGCAGAAGACAAGAAATAACAGATCAGAGCAGAGATGAAGGAGATAGAGACACAAGAAACCGTTCAAAAAATCAATGAATCCAGGAGCTGGTTTTTTGAAAAGCTTAACAAAATAGACCACTAACTGGACTAATAAAGAAGAAAACAGAGAAGAATCAAATAGACACGACAAAAAATGATAAGGGGGATATCACCACTGATCTTACAGAAATACAAACTACCATCAGAGGATACTATAAATAACTCTATGCAAATCAACTAGAAAATTTAGAAGAAATGGATAAATTCCTGGACACATACATCCTCCCAAGACTAAACCAGGAAGAAATCTAATCCCTGAATAGACCAATAACAAGTTCTGAAATTCAGGCAGTAATTAATAGCCTACCAACCAAAAAAGAAGCCCAGGATCAGACAGATTCACAGCCGAATTCTACCAGAGGTACAAAGAGGAGCTGGTACTATTCCTTCTGAAACTATTCCAAACAATAGAAAAAGTCGGAATCTTCCCTAACTCATTTTGTGAGGCCAGCATCATCCTGATACCAAAACCTGGCAGAGACACAACAAAAAAAGAAAATTTCAGGCCAATATCCCTGATGACATCGATGTGAAAATCCTCAATAAAATACTGGCAAACCGAATCCAGCAGCACATCAAAAAGCTTATCCACCATAATCAAATCGACTTCATCCCTGGGATGAAAGGCTGGTTCAACATACACAAATCAATAAACGTAATCCGTCACTTAAACAGAGCCAATGTCAAGGTGATTTTTTAAATATGGATTATGAAATAGGTAAATTTTTCCTTCACATGTACTTATTATTCTGATAAAGATATGACAACTTCATGCACTCGTTAAAATAATGTAAGTTTAAAATATGATTTTTTTTTCCTATTTCTTCCTATAGTGTTTCCTCATTCTCACTTAATGTATTGTATAAGATACTTCACAAACATAAGACATATTGATTCATTGGATAACATTGTCACTATATAAATTAGGAAAATACATTTTCATTATTCATATTTAGCTGATGACAATTCCAAAACTGAGAAAATCAAAGTTTCTCAAGATTACAGACAGGTAGACTAGGAACACAAACCAATGCTTCCAAATTTGATCTAGTTTTTCCTCCTCCAAGTTATTGAGCATAACTAATCTAGGCCCCTCAGAGTGAAGGTTGAAATTGTAATTCAACATATATTCTGGCCCACTATCTCCATTATATTAGCCTTTTTTTTCTGTTACAATCTTTCTGGAATAGTAGGAAAAATAATAGACATGAAAATGCTAAGACTGTGTATAAATACTTAATCGTCTTCTTGGACAGATAAGCTTAAATACCAGACTTTGCATTTCTTTATTTTAAAAAGTATACTTATCAAAACCACTAAATTAACTTGCTCTCAAATAAATAATGCGAAGCAAGGTTTTTGAAAGCATTTCATATCAGGCTTCAGAAATGAACCCAAATGTGTATGGAGATTTACTTTATCATGAAGGAGTAATTTCATATCATTACGTAAAGGCAGAACGTTTCAATGGAGTGTGTGTGTGCTAACTGATTTAAAATCAGGAAAAAAATAAATAAATTCCTATCTTTAATTTCAAAACAATAAAAATTTAAATGTAGAAATATTAGGCAAAAGACCTAAGATCACTTAAAGGCCTTAAATTATTGATGTATTTGATACATAAAAGTATTCACTTGACACAAATTTGCACATATTCATTCAGAAGTGGGTGTACAAAGACCTTTGTTGCAGTGTTGTTTGCATTAGCAAAAAGCTACACATCTCATAAATGACTACCAGTCCTGAAGTTGTTAAACACATCTTCATAATGTAATATTTTGCATTTATTAAAAATAGCGAGGCAAGTCTGTAGTTAGAGAATTGATATATTTAAGGAGAAAAAAGTTACAAGATGGTATTTATAAGATGACACAGGATGTTATCTCTCTACTAACCTATCAATATGCATATATAAATAAATGTATCTATTAAAACACATGAACACATACACAACTACCCCACATACACTAATATGTGTAAAGAATATCTTCAGAAAAGTGAAAAATGGCAAATAGTGAGATGGAGTAAGGAGTGGAAGAGGGATGTGTTTGCACCATAAATATCTTTATTGGGTATATTTCTTGTCATATTTTTTACATTTTTTGAATTTGTAACAATAATGAGCACAAAACAACAGCATTATGATGACCTTCCTGGGAAGTTTCCTGAGGAGGGCATGTAGAGCATAATTCCATTATGAAAAAAATGTGCTTAGAGTATGAAATGAAATAAACCAACATCTTACCTAATCAGATTATCTTCAATATTCATCTCTTTATTTTTAAAATTTTATGGTTTTATTTTTTTATTGATATAAATGGTTTCTTTATTTGTAGAATTACACTTAAAATTATTTTGAAGCAGCATGAACTCTCTCTGGATGGTATTAGAATTTCATACCCAAATAAACTTGAACATTACTTTTTTAAAATTTTATTATTATTATACTTTAAGTTTTAGAGTACATGTGCACAACGTGCAGGTTTGTTACATATGTCTACATGTGCCATGTTGGTGTGCTGCACCCATTAACTAATCATTTAGCAATAGGTATATCTCCTAATGCTATCCCTGCCCCCTCACCACACCCCACAACAGTCCCCCGTGTGTGATGTTCCCCTTCCTGTGACCACGTGTTCTCATTGTTCAATTCCCACCTATGAGTGAGAACATGCGGTGTTTGGTTTTTTGTCCTTGTGATAGTTTGCTGAGAATGATGGTTTCCAGCTTCATCCATGACTCTACAAAGGACATGAACTCATCATTTTTTATGGCTGCATAGTATTCCATGGTGTATATGTGCCACATTTTCTTAATCCACTCTATCATTGTTGGACATTTGGGTTGGTTCCAAGTCTTTGCTATTGTGAATAGTGCCGCAATAAACATATGTGTGTGTGTGTCTTTCTAGCAGCATGATTTATAATCCTTTGGGTATATACCCAGCAATGGGATGGCTGGGTCAAATGGTATTTCTAGTTCTAGATCCCTGAGGAATCGCCACACTGACTTCCACAATGGTTAAATTAGTTTACAGTCCCACCAACAGTGTAAAAGTGTTCCTATTTCTCCACATCCTGTCCAGCACCTGTTGTTTCCTGACTTTTTAATGATCACCATTCTAACTGGTGTGAGATGGTATCTCATTGTGGTTTTGATTTGCATTTCTCTGATGGCCAGTGATGATGAGCATTTTTTCATGTGTTTTTTGGCTGCATAAATGTCTTCTTTTGAGAAATGTCTGTTCATATCCTTCACCCACTTTTTGATGGGGTTGTTTGTTTTTTTCTTGTAAATTTGTTGGAGTTCACTGTAGATTCTGGATATTAGCCCTTTGTCAGATGGGTAGGTTGCAAAAATTTTCTCCCATTCTGTAGGTTGCCTATTCACTCTGATGGTAGTTTCTTTTGTTGTGCAGAAGTTCTTTAGTTTAATTAGATCCCATTTGTCAATTTTGGCTTTTGTTGCCATTGCTTTTGGTGTTTTAGACATGAAGTCCTTGCCCATGCCTATGTCCTGAATGGTATTGCCTAGGTTTTATTCTAGGGTTTTTCTGGTTTTAGGTCCAACATTGAAGTCTTTAATCCATCTTGAATTAATTTTTGTATAAGGTGTAAGGAGGGGATCCAGTTTCAGCTTTCTACATATGGCTAGCCAGTTTTCCCAGCACCATTTATTAAATAGAGAATCCTTTCCCCATTGCTTGTTTTTGTCAGGTTTGTCAAAGATCAGATACTGGTAGATATGTGGCATTATTTCTGAGGGCTCTGTTCTGTTCCACTGTTCTATATCTCTGTTTTGGTACCAGTACCATGCTGTTTTGGTTACTGTAGCCTTGTAGTATAGTTTGCAGTCAGGTAGCATGATGCCTCCAGCTTTGTTCATTTGGCTTAGGATTGACTTGGAAATGCAGGCTCTTTTTTGGTTCCATATGAACTTTAAAGTAGTTTTTTCCAACTCTGTGAAGAAAGTCATTGGTAGCTTGATGGGCAAGGCATTGAATCTATAAATTACCTTGGGCAGTATGGCCATTTTCACGATATTGGTTCTTCCTACACATGAGCAGGGAATGTTCTTCCATTTGTTTGTATCCTCTATTATTTCATTGAGCAGTGGTTTGTAGTTCTCCTTGAAGAGGTCCTTCACATCCCTTGTAAGTTGGATTCCTAGGTATTTGATTCTCTTTGAAGCAATTGTGAATGGGAGTTCACTCATGATTTGGCTCTCTGTTTGTCTGTTATTGGTGTATAGGAATGCTTGTGATTTTTGCACACTGATTTTGTATCCTGAGACTTTGCTGAAGTTCCTTATCAGCTTAAGGAGATTTTGGGCTGAGACGATGGGGTTTTCTAGATATACAATCATGTCATCTGCAAACAGGGACAATTTGACTTCCTCTTTTCCTAATTGAATGCCCTTTATTTCCTTCTCCTGCCTGATTGCCCTGGCCAGAACTTCCAACTCTATGTTGAATAGGAATGGTGAGAGAGGGCATCCCTGTCTTTTGCCAGTTTTCAAAGGGAATGCTTCCAGTTTTGTCCATTCAGTATAATATTGGCTGTGGGTTTGTCATAGATAGCTCTTATTATTTTAAGATACGTCCCATCAATACCTAATTTATTGAGAGTTTTTAGCATGAAGTGTTGTTGAATTTTGTCAAAGGCCTTTTCTGCATCTATTGAGATAATCATGTGGTTTTTGTCTTTGGTTCTGTTTATATGCTGGATTACGTTTATTGATTTTCATATGTTGAACCAGTCTTGCATCCCAGGGATGAAGGCCACTTGATCATGGTGGATAAGCTTTTTGATGTGCTGCTGGATTCAGTTTGCCAGTATTTTATTGAGGATTTTTGCATCAATGTTCATCAAGGATATTGGTCTAAAATTCTCTTTTTTGGTTGTGTCTCTGCCAGGCTTTGGTATCAGGATGATGCTGGCCTCATAAAATGAGTTAGGGAGGATTCCCTCTTTTTCTATTGATTGGAATAGTTTCAGAAGGAATGGTAGCAGCTCCTCTTTGTACTTCTGGTAGAATTCGGCTGTGAATCCATCTGGTCCTGGACTTTTTTTGGTTGGTAAGCTGCTAATTATTGCCTCAATTTCAGAGCCTGTTATTGGTCTATTCAGAGATTCAACTTCTTCCTGGTTTAGTCTTGGGAGGGTGTATGTGTCGAGGAATTTATCCATTTCTTCTAGATTTTCTAGTTTATTTGTGTAGAGGTGTTTATAGTATTCTCTGATGGTAGTTTGTATTTCTGTGGGATTGGTGGTGATATCCCCTTTATCATTTTTTATTGCGTCTATTTGATTCTTCTCTCTTTTCTTCTTTATTAGTCTTGCTAGTGGTCTATGAATTTTGTTGATCTTTTCAAAAAACCAGCTTCTGGATTCATTGATTTTTTGAAGGGTTTTTTGTGTCTCTATTTCCTTCAGTTCTGCTCTGATCTTAGTTATTTCTTACCTTCTGCTAGCTTTTGAATGTGTTTGCTCTTGATTCTCTAGATGTTTTAATTGTGATGTTCTGGTGTCAGTTTTAGATCTTTCCTGCTTTCTCTTGTGGGCATTTAGTGCTATAAACTTCCCTCTACACACTGCTTTAAATGTGTCCCAGAGATTCTGGTATGTTGTGTCTTTGTTCTTGTTGGTTTCAAAGAATATCTTTATTTCTGCCTTCATTTCATTATGTACCCAGTAGTCATTCAGGAGCAGGTTGTTCAGTTTCCATGTAGTTGAGTGGTTTTGAGTGAGTTTCTTAATCCTGAGTTGTAGTTTGATGGCACTGTGGTCTGAGAGACAGTTTGTTATAATTTCTGTTCTTTCACATTTGCTGAGGAGAGCTTTATTTCCAGCTATGTGGTCAATTTTGGAATAGGTGTGGTGTGGTGCTAAAAAGAATGTATATTCTGTTGATTTGGGGTGGGGAGTTCTGTAGATGTCTATTAGGTCCGCTTGGTGCAGAGCTGAGTTCAATTCCCAGGTATCCTTGTTAACTTTCTGTCTCGTTGATCTGTCTAATGTTGACAGTGGGGTGTTAAAGTCTCCCATTATCATTGTGTGGGAGTCTAAGTCTCTTTGTAGGTCTCTAAGGACTTGCTTTATGAATCTGGGTGCTCCTGTATTGGGTGCATATATATTTAGGATAGTTAGCTCTTCTCGTTGAATTGATCCCTTTACCATTATGTAATGGCCTTCTTTGTCTCTTTTGATCTTTGTTGGTTTAAAGTCTGGTTTTTCAGAGACTAGGATTGCAACCCCTGCCTTTTTTTGTCTTTCATTTGCTTGGTAGATCTTCCTCCATCGCTTTATTTTGAGCCTATGTGTGTCTCTGCATGTGAGATGGGTTTCCTGAATACAGCATACTGACGGGTCTTGACTCTTTATCCAATTTGCCAGTCTGTGTCTTTTAATTGGCGCATTTAGCCCATTTACATTTAAGGTTAATATTGTTATGTGTGAATTTGATCCTGTCATTATGATGTTAGCTGGTTATTTTGCTTGTTAGTTGATGCAGTTTCTTCCTAGCCTTGAAGGTCTTTACAATTTGGCATGTTTTTTCAGTGGCTGGTACAGGTTGTTCCTTTCCATGTTTAGTGCTTCCTACAGGAGCTCTTTTAGGGCAGGCCTGGTGGTGACAAAATCTCTCAGCATTTGCTTGTCTGTAAAGGATTTTATTTCTCTTTCACTTATGAAGCTTAGCTTGGCTGGATATGAAATTCTGGGTTGAAAATTCTTTACTTTAAGAATGTTGAATATTGGCCCCCACTCTCTTCTGGCTTGTAGAGTTTCTGCCGAGAGATCCACTGTTAGTCTGATGGGCTTCCCTTTGTGGGTAACCTGACCTTTCTCTCTGGCTGCCCTTAACATTTTTTCCTTCATTTCAACTTTGGTGAATCTGACAATCATGTGTCTTGGAGTTGCTCTCCTCGAGGAGTATCTTTGTGGCATTCTCTGTATTTCCTGAATTTGAATGTTGGCCTGCCTTGCTAGATTGGGGAAGTTCTCCTGGATAATACCCTGCAGAGTGTTTTCCAACTTGGTTCCATTATCCCCGTCATTTTCAGGTGCACCAATCAGACATAGATTTGGTCTTTTCACATAGTCCCATATTTCTTGGATGCTTTGTTCGTTTCTTCTTATTCTTTTTTCTCTAAACTTCTCTTCTCGCTTCATTTCATTCATTTCGTCTTCCATAACTGATACCCTTTCTTCCAGTTGATTGCATCGGCTACTGAGGCTTGTGCATTCATCACGTAGTTCTCGTGCCATGGTTTTCAGCTCCATCAGGTCCTTTAAGGACTTCTCTGCATTGGTTATTCTGTTTATCCATTCATCTGATTTTTTTTTCAAGGTTTTTAACTTCTTTGCCATTGGTTCAAACTTCCTCCTTTTGCTAGGAGTAGTTTGATCCTCTGAAGACTTCTTCTCTAAACTTGTCAAAGTCATTCTCCCTCCAGCTTTGTTCCGTTGCTGGTGAGGAGCCGCATTCCTTTGGAGGACGAGAGGCGCTCTGATTTTTAGAGTTTCCAATTTTTCTGCTCTGTTTTTTCCCCATCTTTGTGGTTTTATCTACCTTTGGTCTTTGATGATGGTGACGTACAGATGGGTTTTTGGTGTGGATGTCCTTGCTGTTTGTTAGTTTTCCTTCTAACAGTCAGGACCCTCAGCTGCAGGTCTGTTGGAGTTTGCTGGAGGTCCACTCCAGACCCTGTTTTCCTGGGTATCAGCAGCAGTGGTTGCAGAACAGCAGATATTGGTGAACCGCAAATGCTGCTGCCTGATTGTTCCTCTGGAAGTTTTGTCTCAGAGGAGTACCTGGCCGTGTGAGGTGTCAGTCCGCCCCTACTGGGGGATGCCTCCCAGTTAGGCTACTTGGGGGTCAGGGACCCACTTGAGGAGGCAGTCTGCCCGTTCTCAGTTCTCAAGCTGCGTGCTGGGAGAACCACTACTCTCTTCAAAGCTGTCAGACAGGGACATTTAAGTCTGCAGAGGTTACTGCTGCCTTTTGTTTGTCTGTGCCCTGCTCCCAGAGGTGGAGCCTACAGAGGCAGGCAGGCCTCCTTGAGCTGTGGTGGGCTCCACCCAGTTCGAGCTTCCTGGCCGCTTTGTTTACCTACTCAAGCCTTGGCAATGGTGGGTGCCCTCCCCCAGCCTTGTTGCTGCCTTGTAGTTTGATCTCAGACTGCTGTGCTAGCAATGAGCAAGGCTCCTTGGGCGTAGGACCCTCCGAGCCAGGTGCTGGATATAATCTCCTGATGTGCTGTTTGTTGAGCCCATTGGAAAAGCACAGTATTAGGTTGGGAGTGACCCAATTTTCCAGGTGCTGTCTGTCACCCCTTTCTTTGACTAGGAAAGGGAATTCCCTGACCCCTTGTGATTCCCAGGTGAGGCGATGCCTCGCCCTGCTTCGGCTCACACATGGTGCACTGCACCCACTGTCTTGCACCCACTATCCGGCACTCCCCAGTGAGATGAACCCAGTACCTCAGTTGGAAATGCAGAAATCACCTGTCTTCTGTGTTGCTCACGCTGGGAGCTGTAGACTGGAGCTGTTCCTATTCGGCCATTTTGGCTCCACCCTGGTTAGTTGAGTTTTTAAATCAACCCAATGAAGAAATGGTCTTAGCTTCTCCCAGCTGTTTGAGCCAGCACATAAAATTAGAATATCTTTTAAGGGCTCTCATGTTGATAAATTTGGCTTAATCCACATTTGGTTCAGTCAAATGTTTTCTCTCTTCATGACAATCCATTCCAATATAATCCCCAAGATTTTTGTAGCTTAAAATGGCAAATTTTATCATTATTTTCTGTCTCCTGACACACTGTTAGTGTTAGTCTGATGGGCACACAACAAGTGTCATCTCTCAGCATGCTCCAGGGAGACAGAAACATCCTACCTAGTTGTGTTGTGATTAATCATGATAACTGATACCCTCTTTAAAGGTATTGCCTCAGATATCATTTCAAAAACTTCAGCCAAATCATGGTCATTTCACCAAACAAAAGAAATAGGGTGACCTGACATGAAAACAAAGATTTTTTTTTTATTTTGGGATTGATAGCACTGTAATTTACTTGAAACTATCTAGATATTCTCAACACTACAGGAGCAAACTTGGATGGGTATTTTGCCACAAGTGCAGCAGAAAAGCTAAGATAATTCACTCCAATGCACTACAAGCTTTCATAATGTGTGCTGAAGTGTCCTTCCAAAGTTTGGGAGTGCCCTCAAAGGGCAGAAAGCTAGGGACAGGACTGGGAAGCAAATAGAAGTCCCCACTGACCCAAAAGGCTGGCAGCCAGACTATAAAGCAAAGAGAAATCTCCCGTAGTCCAAAAGGCTGGTAGCCTCACTATAAAACATCAAGACTTATCTGGACTCTCACCAGAATTCAGGCCCACCCTTCCTTCAAAATAGTTGAAGACAGTGGTTAACTGAATTTAACCAAGTTTACAACAGGTTTAAGCTTAGCTACACATCAGACAGTCTGAGTTCCCCATACTCATACCCTGATAAATAAGGAATGTGTCCTATCCTGAGGATAAATACTACTTACTATTTATTTCTGTCCCTACAAGTATTTTTTACAAATTGTTATGGACTGTTTGTGTCACTCCAAATTTATATGTTGAAGCACTTACCACAATGTGATGATATTTGGAGGTAGAGTCTTTGGGAAGTTAAATTAGGTTTAGATGCAGTCATGAGAGTGGGGCCCCCATGTCAGGGTTAGTGTTTTTATAAGAAAAGGAAGAAAGATCAGAGTTTTATCTACACAATGTGAGAATACAGTGAAAGGTCTGTCAGCAAGAGAGACTTCACCAAAAACTAAATTTTCTGGCACCTTAAATTTGGACATTCCAGCTTCCAGAATTATGAGAAATAAATGTCTGTTGTTTAAGCCACCCAAGCTATGGTATTTTGTTATAACATCCTGAGCTAAGACATATTTTTGTACCAGGAGTGGGATGTAGCTGAAAATGTAGAAGTGGCTTTAAAACTGGAAAAGGGGTAGAAGTTAAGGAATTTGGGGATGCATGCTATAAATATGCACAATAATAGCTATTCTGTTTAGGGCTTATACAGAATATAAGACTGCTGGAGAAAAACTTCCATTTTCTTATAGAATACATAAATAATTATAAACAGAATGTTGGCAGAAATATGTATGGTAAAGGTCATTCTGGGGAAGGCTTAGACAGAAATGAAGAATAAGCTATTGGACAATTGAGAAAAAGTGATTCTTTTTATAAAGTGGTAAAGAACTTGGCTGAATTATGTTCATGTTTTATTGTTTTGTGGAATGTAAAACTAGTAAGTGATGAAATTAACAGTGAACATAGCTGACATTTCTAATCAAAGTGTTGAAGGAGTCACTTTGTTCATCCTGACTGCTTCTACTAAGATGCAAGAAAAAAAAAAGAGATAAATGAATCAAAAAAGGAATTGTTAAAAAAAAAAAGGAGCTGGAACTTAAAAAATTGGAAAGTTCTCAGCCTATCCACACTGCAAAAGATGAGAAAGCATGCTGAGAAAAAAAAAAAACCACCAAAGGTGTGGCTGGACCCTCACTCGATAAAGAGATTACGGGATTATATAAGCAGAAACACTGTCAGTCTGAACTGAAGGAGATGGGAATGGGATAAAATGAAGAAAGTCTGTCAGACTTCTTAGATTCTTTGGGACTGGACCATAGAGCTATTCAGATGTGAATGTGTGATATTACTCTTCAAGACAAGGGAAGAAAGACCCTAAAGGTGTTTTAGAGATTATCTGGGCTGCCACCTCAGATTTAAAGGTTGGGGCTATCATCTCAGTTTCAATGGGCAGTTGGTGTCAGAGTGGCTGCCAGAGCCTTTTGGGTACAATGAAGAGTCATGAGGACATGACCCCTTCCCTGCAGAGCTACAGAGGTCCGACTATCTACTATCCCAGTTTGTCCAGAAAGTGGGACTGTCATCCCAGTAGACCCAGAAGGCAAATTATGAAACCAAAGATTATCCTTGAGCTTTAAGATCTAATGGTATTTGCATTACAAGATTTTAGATTTGCTTGGAACCTGCCACCCCTTTCTTTCTTCCAGGTGTTGGAATGAGAATGCCTATTCTATGTCTAATCTATCATTGTATTTTGGAAGTGTGTAATTTATCTGGTTTCACAGACTTATAACTGGGGATGAATTTTTCCTCAGGATTAATCGTATCTTGAGCCTCACCTATATCTGATTTAGATGATATTTAGATGAGACAGGACTTCCAATTTTAGAGTTGATCTTGGAATAAGTTAAGACTTTGGGGGCTACTGAAATAAGATCATTTTTTTTGTGTGTGTAAGAATAACATTAATTTGGGAGACAAAAGGCAGAATGCTATGGATTGAATGTCTGTGTACCCCCAAAATTCATATGTTGAAGCCCTAACCCTCCATGTGATGGTATTTGGAGATGGGGCCTTTGGAAAGTAATTAGGTTTAAATCAGGTCATGAGGGTGGGCCTCCATAAGGGGATTAGTGACCTCATAAAAGGAAGAGGGACCATAAAAGGAAGAGCACACTCTTTCCCTACCACTTGAGGGAACAGCAAGTGAAAAGGCAGCCGTCTGCAAGTCAAGAAGTAGGGCCTCATCAGGAACTGCACCTCCTACTCCTTTATCTTAAACCTCCCAGCCTCCAGAACTTTGAGAAATAAGTGTCTGTTGTTTATTCCACCCAGCCTGTGGTATTTTGTTAGAGCAGCCCAAGCTGACCAAGACACACAATGCCTGGCATAAAATAAAAATTAAACACTATGAGGCACACTAACAAGCAAGAAAAATAGAAACAGTGCACGCCTGTAATTCCAGCTACTAGCGAGGCTGGGGCAGGAGAATCACTTGAACCTGGGAGGCAGAGGTTGCAGTGAGCAGAGATCACCCAGGCACTCCAGCCTGGGTAACAGAGTAAGACTCCGTCTCAAAAAAAAAAAAAAAAAAAAAAAAAAGAAAGAAAAAGAAAAAAGAAAAAGAAAGAAACAGGAGTCATTTGAAGCTAAAAAGAGGAAATATTCAAGTGAAGTATATCCAGACATGGTTCAGACATTAGAATCATCAGATAAGAATTTTTTAAATATGTTTTAACATTTCGCTGGTAAAGGCAGACAAGATTTATGAACAAAGGGGAGATCTCAACAAAGAGATTAGCATTGTACAGAAGAACCAAATGGAAATGTTGGATATAAAAAAAAACATACCAGAAATAATATAAGAAATAAATAATTAATTTGGTGGGCTTAACAATAGGCTGGACTCAGTAGAGGAAAGAATTCATGAACTGAAATACAAGTCAATTGAAATTATCCAAACTTCAACCCAAAGAGAAAAAAGAAAAAGCATCCAAGTTATGTAGGATAATATTATCTCCTCTGACACATGAGTACTTGGAGCTCCAGAATATAAGAAAAAGAAATAAACAGAAAAAAATCTTAAGAGATAATGGTTGAGAATTTTCCAAAATTAATGACACCACCATAAATCCGAGAAGTTCACCAAACCCAATGCAAAATAAATAAGAAAATCACACCGTTGCCCTTTACCAAAATGATGACATGGATTTCCCTTAAGAAAAAACAGAATGATCAATGATAGCCACTTCAGTGGTTTTATACTCCTTGGATTCACAGGGCAGCCTCAGCTTCAGATGATGATCTCTGGGGTTGTCTTTTTCTTCTACACTATTGCCTTCATGGGAAATATGGCCATCATCCTATTGTCTTTCCTAGATGACCATCTCCAAGTCCCCATGTACTTCTTCCTTAGAAATTTGGCCATCTTGGATCTCTGTTATACCACAAATATAGTCCCACAAATGTTGGTCAGTATCTGGGGCAAAGACAAAAGAATTACCTTTGGTGGGTGTGCCTTTCAACTTTTCATTGATGTGGCACTGTACTCAGTTGAATGCATCCTTCTGTCCATGATGTCATATGATCGACTCAATGCTATCTGCAAGCCTCTGCATCATATGACCATAATGAACCTCCAACTCTGCCAGGGCCTTGTGGTCATCTCCTGGGTAGTTGGTGTGATTAATTGCATCATACCTTCCCCTTATGCCACGAGTCTTCCTCGATGTAGGAACCACCACCTAGACCACTTTTTTGTGTGTGTGAAATGTCTGCAATGATCAAGATTCAAGATTGCATGTGTGGACACCACAGCCATGGAGGTAACCACATTTGCCATGTGCCTGATTATAGTTCTTGTTCCTCTTCTTCTTATTCTTGTGTCATATGGTTTCATTGCTGTGGCTGTACTCAAGATCAAGTCTGCAGCAGGAAGACAAAAAGCATTTGGGACCTGTTCCTCCCATCTCGTTGTGGTATCCATCTTCTGTGGGACAGTTACATACATGTATATACAGCCAGGAAACAGTCCAAATCAGAATGAGGGCAAACTTCTCAGTATATTTTACTCCATTGTTACTCCCAGCTTGAACCCATTAATTTATACGGTAAGGAATAAGGAGTTCAAGGGGGCCATGAAGAGGCTAACTGGAAAAGAAAAAGATTGCATGGAAAAAAGAGGACATTGATTCTTCCTCCCAGCAATTTCTAATATGGCAATTGATCTTCCCAATCTAAAATGTAGACAATTTATTTTGTAAATAAATTGTCTACACCTGAGATAAAGATAATATCCATTAAAAATATAATAAAATTATAATAAAAATTATAATTAAGCCGAATGTATTTATTGAATACTTAATCCATGATGATTGGTATATGTACAAAACTCATATTTAAAATGAAATTATAAACTAAAGTGCCAACACTAAAAATAACATGCTATGCACTGATTTCTTTTGGATTATATATGTTACAATTATATTGATATTGACCAATTTAACTCTAATAGTCTCCTTTGATTATGTTAACTAAATATTGTCATTAATTTAAGGAGATTAAAAGCTGTTTTCATTGCCCTCTATTTTAAGGTACAACACTTTTGCTCCAACCAGTCCCAGGAATATTTTTACACAGGCAAATCTCCAGCCTGAAGATGACAGCAGCAAAGCTAGTCGTTAACCAAGAAGACCAAGAGTTCTAGTTATCAATCATCTTTGAAAAGATCTCATGTTAATTAACCACAGTAATTTCCCCCTATCTTTCTCTGCTTAGATAATTACTCAAGGAGCTCAATTTTTGTGATCACAAAAGAAAAATATTTTTATCAGTTCCAATAATCATCTTTAAGATAATGCTTTTTTCTTTCCCACTTGGCCTTCCAAGTTTTTACTACTTATTTTGGGGATGAGCATGGAGGTATTGCCATGTCACCTGGTTTTAGATGTTCTACATTTTTTCTCTGAGTGCTTCAAGAAAACTGACACATAGAAAGGTGATTTATTTGGCTATTGAAATGGTCTTTCTGTCTTTTTCTGAAGTGTGTTTTTAAATGCATTTCTTTCTCATTTTTGTTGAGTTATTATCCTTTCCATATTTTGACTGAAGATAAATTTGATTTTTGTCTTGAAGATAAATGTTGATTCATGGGATAGTTCAGAGCTATGTTACCAACTTGTAACTTGAAAAAGAATTTTTGAAAACTTCCTTTATGTTTCTGATCCAATATCCAATATCACTTTTTCTTGCTCCATCTCTTGCTCATGTCCTAGTTATTTATACAGTCACATAATTCCATTCATGCCAAAAAGACTTTTTATTAAAAAAGCTAGAGTGATTAATTTTATTCCTTATACCCTCTTTCTCCCTTGAGAAAGTAGAAAACTTAAATAAAATGAAAAATCTAGAATATTTGATTTTGATATTTTTGTAGTTCTTGAGGATGAAAAATGAACTTAATAGGATTTTGAAGTCTAAATACTCCATTAGATAAGTTAAAGTAAAATTGTTTCAATAGCTGTTTTGAAGCATCATAAATTGAGATACTTGTAGGAACTACTTAAGCTCTGGAGTGACTTTTCTTTTTATTCCAGCTTCTCCGTTAATGACAGTACTTTCAGAAGTTGTCCTAAATCTCAGAGACACACCTAGCATTTTGCAGTATATATTTAGTACTTTTATGACTATTAAGAACGCCACATTTTCCAGGAATTCCAACATCTTTCAAAAAATAGAAGAGAGAGAAAACAGAGAAAAGGAAGTTACCAAAAGCAGACAGGAGAAATTTTCAGATCAAAAGAACATAAATGTACACCTTAAAGAATTATTGTACAATACACTGTGATGGAACACCCAAAAGCCCACCCAAGTCAAGTTTTAGAAAAATGTACTCAGAGGTGGCCAAAGTGCCGCTTCATGGTTATAATCCCTATCCTTCTCTCTCAACATTAATTATTATTCTTACATATATAGATTTCACACTTTTCCTTTCCTTTACAGATGTCTTACCTAACTATGCATCTCCAAATAATATGGTTTAATTTTTTTAATTTTTATATACATGGATTCTGTTGTACTTGAATTCTTTCAAATAACATTATATTTTTAAGATTCATCTATGCATTAAGCATTTCTGTACTTCACTTATTTCCACAGCTGTAAATACTTCATAATATACATATACAACTTATTTATTTATTCTGTCTTCATAAAAATTATAGTTTTTCACGTTTTCAAACCTCAGAAACAATTCTGCTTAGAATATTTTATGCATGTATTTTGGCTCATCTTGCATATGTATATATATCCTCATTGTATATTTGTACTCAGGTTTTTTGAAACACTGCCAAAATTTTCCAGAGTGGTTGCACCATATTAAACACTTATCAGTGTATGTGTTTCCATTGCTCTACATCTTCATCAATATTTGGTTTTCTTAGGTTTCTTTTTAATTTTAGTCAATCTGATGTGAGTGCATGATGGGTATAATTTTTGCTTTTATGATTATTGAAGCAAACGAGCACCATCCATTTCACAAATGCATTGGCCACTTATGTTTACCCTTTGAGATTTATCTATTCAGGTTTTTGCAATTTTTTACTATTTTTCTTATTGATATGAAGTATTTATATGTTCTGGATATGCCTTTTAACAAGCACAAGCACTAAAAATATCTCTTCCTTTTCTGTGATTTGTCTTTTGACTCCTAATGGTGTCACCTGATGAACAGAATTTTGTAGTTTCAATGATTGAAGTGTATTCATCATTTTTTACCTGTCAGTGATTTTTAAGACCAGTTACAGAAATAATTCCTCTTCCTAATAATACCTAATAATACCATAAAGTTATTATTTCATATTGATTTCTAAAACAGGAGTTGGGAAACTGTAGCCAGTGGGCCACTTGTGTCTGTTTTATAAAGTTTTATAGGAACACAGCCACACCCAGTTACTTACTTTTGTCTATGGCTGCTTTAGCACTACAACTACAGAGTTGAGTAGTTGTGACCGAGACCTGATGACACACAATGCCTAAAATATTTACTATCTGGCCTTTCCAAAAAAGTTTCCGTACCCTATTCTAGAAGATACTTTTTCCCTTTCACATCTAAATCTACAATCTATCTGGAATAGATGTTTATACACAGTATAAGTTGGGACAAATTTATTTTTTTAATTAATATCCCATTGGTCCAGCACCATATATTGAAAATTATAATTTTTCTCTATTCTTCTGTAGTGTTGTCTTTGTCATAAATAAATTTCCACAGATCTGTGGGTTTGTTTCAAGTCTTTTTTTTTCTATTTCAGTGTTTGATGTGGTTTGGCTGTGTCCCCACCCAAATCTCATCTTCAGTTGTAGCTCCCATAATTCCTGCATGGGAGCATGGGAGGGACCCAGTGAGAGGTAACTGAATCATGGGAATGGGTCTTTCCCATGCTGTTGTCGTGATAGTAAATAAGTCTCACAAGATCTGATGGTTTTATAAAGGGAATTTTCCCTGCACACTCTTCTTGCCTGATGCCATGTAAGATGTGACTTTGCTCCTCCTTCACCTTCTGCCATGATTGTGAGGCCTCCCCAGCCATGTGGAACTGTGAGTTTGCACCTCACTCATTGCTTCTCAAACCCTCACATTGTGTGCCAAAAAATATTGCAGGACTTTTCCTTAGTTCAGCTAAAAAGGGGGTTCTTTGTCCCATGGCC
>NT_167244.2:350864-442980 GCF_000001405.40 Homo sapiens | reverse complement strand
GGCCATCAGAGAAATGCAAATCAAAACCACAATGAGATACCACCTCACACCAGTTAGAATGGCAATCATTAAAAAGTCAGGAAACAACAGGTGCTGGACAGGATGTGGAGAAATAGGAACACTTTTACACTGTTGGTGGGACTGTAAACTAGTTCAACCATTGTGGAAGTCAGTGTGGTGATTCCTCAGGGATCTAGAACTAGAAATACCATTTGACCCAGCCATCCCATTACTGGGTATATACCCAAAGGATTATAAATCATGCTGCTAGAAAGACACATGCACACGTATGTTTATTACGGCACTATTCACAACAGCAAAGACTTGGAACCAACCCAAATGTCCAACAATGATAGAGTGGATTAAGAAAATGTGGCACATATACACCATGGAATACTATGCAGCCATAAAAAATGATGAGTTCATGTCCATGTAGGGACATGGATGAAGCTGGAAACCATCATTCTCAGCAAACTATCCCAAGGACAAAAAACCAAACACCGCATGTTCTCACTCATGAGTGGGAATTGAGCAATGAGAACATTTGGACACAGGAAGGGGAACATCACACACCGGGGCCTGTTGTGTGGTGGGGGGAGGGATAGCATGAGGAGATATACCTAATGTAAATGACGAGTTAATGGGTGCAGCACAGCAACATGGCACATGTATACATATGTAATAAACCTGCAGGTTGTGCACAAGTACCGTAGAACTTAAAGTATAATAATAATAATTATAATAAAAGAACATTATAGCATTAAGAAAAGGAAGAAACCACAATGTTAATGAACAATAGATAGTATTAACCACGCACACATTTTTAGACTTTTAACATCACAAATTGTAACAAACCAAAATAAGAGGCAATGAACTAAGAAAATACATATGAATTTGTATAACCTTGGAACACAAAAGTTTATACAACTTAATATGAAACTGAAACTCCAATACAGTTATGTACATAGAATGCAGACAAATAATTAACACAAAATAGAAAATTTAAAAGGAATAAAAATGACCTAATAATTAAAAAAAAAAGTACTTGGTGTAAAGGTACGTGGCATCTCCAACTTACTCTCAGCTAGTGCAGAAAAAGAGATAGATGATAGATAGATAGATAGATAGATAGATAGATAGATAGATAGATATAATAGATGATAGAGATATAGATAGATAGATAGATAGATAGATAGATAGATAGATGATATAACAAAGCTTTGGGGGAAAATGTAAACTAATGCTTAATCTGGTTATAGGGTAAATGTCAGTCTTTGTACTACTTTTTTGCAATTCTTCTCTAAGTTTGAAATTTTACCATAATAAAAAGTCACAAAAAATAGAAAACAATTTTTTAATTTTATATTTTATTCATATATTTGCCTTATAGAAGAATAACTATCGAGTTCTTCCCATTCATTTTATGGTGACTTCTAGGTAAATGGTAATTGAAAGAAATTTCTAACCTAGCTAAGGAAGATAATTTCCATAAAACACAAAATTTTTCTTTGTTAATGAATAAGGAACTTTTCTTTTCAGCATTTTCAGGTTATTTTCAAAAATGTGATTATAGAAAACATAACAATTGCAATCCCAATAATTTTACATACGGATGAAATAATATGTTGAAAATATTGAATTTAGTAGTGATTTCAAAATGTTCATGTAAAGTGAAAAAAAAGTTTAGCTTCAATGGGACTACAGGCATGTGCCACCATGCCTAGCTAATTGTTTTGTATTTTTAGTAGAGATGGGGTTTCACCTTGTTAGCCAGGATGGTCTTGGTCTCCTGACCTCATGATCCACCTGACTCGGCCTTCCAAAGTGCTGGGATTACAGGTGTGAGCCACCGTGCTCGGCCTTGTTTTTGATTTTTAAAAAGTGAAAGATTTATACAATCTGAAGAGTAATCAGAGTTTATTGTTTCTGACTTTTAAAAGCTGTCTTAATGTATTAGCATTACCCCCAGTGACAAATTAAGCCATGCACAGATACTTCATCTTTTATGTTGCCATTTTTCCTGACAGAGAGTGTGTTCTGTTCAGACAGAGTATGTTATATTTATACACGTTACCAAGAATTTCACAAACTGGAAGAGAGTACACATTCAATAAGATTTAGCTAATAAAGAATAAGTTAATGAATAAATGGACAGATGAACGAAAGAGCCATTTTAAAGAGATATTAGTTTACTGTTCAATGTGACAAGTATGTAGACCTACAGGATAAATTAGATAATTTAGTGTCTTTAAAAAGTGTCTTTCAACCAAATACTTATGATATATCCTTTACCATATCTTAAACAATGTTATTCATTATGTTTACCATTTTTCTTTGCTGTGACTATTTTTAGCTTCATTTAAGGTTTATTCAATAACCAAAAACCTTTTTAGCCTAAGTCTTTGCAATATTGCCCTTCTCTTTCTGTATATATCATCAGTTCATAATTTAGCACATTGTTAGAAATATTCCCAACATTTTTGAAATAATCTCCTCATAACTATTCGCATGCACATTTATTTACGTTGAAACCACAGTCCACAATTTTCACAGAAATAAAATATACAATTGTAAAAGAACAAAGTGGCACTAATCAGAAACTTTATCTCAACATAATATTTCAGAACTAAATAATAAAAAGAGCAACAAATGTGATACTGAACTATTCTGTTTTGTGAGCTGTTAGAACAAAAATAAATCACAAAGAAGCAGGGAAACCACCTTTCAAGATGGCTAAGACCCTAGGAAAAACAATGACAACAGACAACATGATTTCCCTGTCACTTCCCCCACTCCCACCCCAATAGTCTCTTCGCTGCCCCTTTTACATGCTTGTTTCTGAGAGTGTAGATTAGAGGATTAAGACTCGGTGTGACAACAGTATAAAAGAGGGCAATGAACTTGCCCTGATCAGGAGAATTTTCTGATGGTGGCTGGAGATACATGCACATGACTGGAATGAAAAAGAGAGATACAACCATAAGATGGGCTCCACATGTCCTAAACACTTTCTGAAGCCCAGTGGTTGATTGCATGCTCAGTACAGCCCGGGCAATGGCACCATAGGCAGTGAGAATCAGAATGAGAGGTATGAGAACAAAAATGGAGCTCATGACCATGAGGGTCAGCTCATTTGCATGGGTGTCAACACATGATAAACGCAGAAGTGCTGGAACTTCACAGAAGAAGTGATCCACTAGGCGATGTCCACAAAGGGGTACCCAGAAAGTAAAGGAGGAATGAAGTGCTGAGATAGTAAAACCAATTACCCAAGAAGCCGCAGCCAACAAGTGGCAGAAACGAGGGTGCATGAGGACAGTGTAATGCAAAGGTCTACACACAGCTACATAACGATCATACGACATCACCACCAGTAGGACACACTCTGCGATTCCCAGTGCAAGAACAAAGTAAAGTTGAACCATGCAACCAGCATACGAGATGGTCTTTTCCGGGCCCCGGAGATTCACCAGCAACTGAGGGATAGAGCTGGTGGTGTGGCAGAGATCCAGAAATGAGAGGTTTGAAAGGAAGAAGTACATTGGTGTGTGGAGATGGGAGTCCACGTATGACAGGATGATGATGAACAGGTTTCCTGTCAGTGTCATCAGGTAGAAGATCAAGATAACCACAAAGAGAACTACTTCCAGCTGAGGCCAATTAGAAAATCCAAGTAGAATAAAGAAGTCTTCCGAACTTGCATTTTTTTTAATCATCATTCATCTTTTTCTTATACCTAAAGAAAGAACCACATAAACTCAAAGTCTGTCCATGCATTGTCAACCGCTCACTTGCAAACAGATTGAAGACAAAAGTATCCCACTTCCAGAGAGTGTGCACCATAATGGTAGTAGAATTTTTATACAGTTCCCTTTATATGCTTCATTGAGATATTTATCCAGCTACAGATACAAGCAATAGCTTCTCAAGTTACTGAGTTCTTTATATACATCCCTGAATTAACATTTGGATTAATGAAGACTAAGATAGTCCATAATCAGGAACACAATATTTATGAAAAATGATTTTTTACTTTAAAAAGTCAAATTATTTTTATATTTTCAGGCTATTTCCAATTTTGCAATTACAGAGAAAGGAATAACAGCAGTCTTACTGATCTTACTTATAGATAGGAATTTCCCATATTAAAAAGCAATTAGATAGTCACTTTAAAATATTAACTGAAAAGAAATAATTGAATATGATTATAGAAAGAATCAAATGCTATTTATGCTAGCAGTTTATTTCTAGACAAATAAAATAATGCACAAATCAAAGTTTAAAGAGAATATGCACGCACACACCAACTTATAAAAATTCACAATATACACAAAGCTGATTAATACAGCAAAATAGAGTGATCGGTGATAGAATGCTTCCAAAGGTAAATGAGACTATATTACTGGAAGACATAAAGATTACAGAGTCTAACAAAAACATAGGTTGGTAAGAGAGAAATGGAGAGTGTTTGGATGCACAACAGTGAAGAGAGGTCTGAATGTGGTATGCGAAGTTGAAAGAATGTATAACAAGTTTGTTAGACAAGGACAAGAAGACTTAAACATGGTTTCTACAAAACTGTATATGCTTTAGGCCAATAACTGAACTATACTTTAAATTCTGAGTCACAATTTATAATTTGTATTTTCTGGGTTTTCCACAATTTTTAATGGAGCTTCTGAACAGACATTAACTAATATTAGTAGAAAGATACGTGAACATTGTATAAAATCCAGAAAATTCACCTTGTAGTTATTTTTTTAAAATGAAGAAATTCAAATATGCTTTGATAGCTTGATTTTCAGTTGCTTATTTTCTCTTGCACATTACCAATCTTGCATGAGAAAGATAAACACTCTTTTATGATATAGTTTTTGCAATAAAATACAGGAACCCAGCATTTCAATATTCCTAAATAGTTTTGCCATCCCCCTTCTGCTCCCCTCCTGCCACAGCCAACTCTTCCTCTTATACTCTCTGATAAATTTGGCAAAAGAGGCCAGGCGTGGTGGCTCATGCCTGTAATCTCAGCATTTTGGGAGGCCGAGGCAGGTGGAACACCTGAGGTCAGGAGTTCGAGACCAGCCTGACCAACGTGGTGAAACACCATCTCTACTAAAAAATACAAAAATTAGCCAGGCAGGCATGGTAGTGGGCACCTGTAATACCAGCTACTCTGGAGGCTGAGGCAGGAGAATCGCTTGAACCCAGGAGGCGGAGGTTGCAGTGAGCTGAGATCATGCCATTGCCCTCCAGCCTGGGTGACAGAGCAAGACTCTGTCTCAAAAAACTAATATCTACACCCGACTCACCTTCAGTGTTTTGAAAAACTTTTAATAACTCAAATATTGTAATCTTGACTCTTGAAAAAGATGTAAGGAGTTGCCTAACTGGTTGAGTTACAGCTGGAGAGCTAGGAACATTGAACTTGGGCCAAATCTGTGCAAATGCTCCAGACTGGTACAAAGATACTGTACATTTTTCCATATTGTTGGTAATGGAATGAGCATTAACCTTTTGAGAAATCATGGGAAAATTCCAAGGATTTTTTTAAATCTCCCTAAGATGAAAGGTAATATGCCATAAGATACTTGAACTCAAATGCTGTGGATACTTTTGCTGATGCCGACCTAATTTTCTTTCCTAATGCAGCTGCCTGAGTTCCTTATTACAGTAATTAAAAGGTGGAATCTGATAACTATCTGTTATATGACCCATCTTTCAGCATTCCTCCGGAGTTGATAAAAGGGATAGGAAATAAGGGACAAAAAAACCCCCAGAACTCATGTAGAGAAAAGTCTCAGCTTCAATTTTCTTCTTGGTGGAAAAGAGGGAAATGAAGACCCTATCAAATGTAGCTTTTATGAGTTGTAGAATAAAATATCTTCTCTCTTTTTTTAAATCAAATACTATAGGGAAAATGGATGGCTGAGTGTCTCTTCCTTCCCCAATTATTATTAAGAGACATTATGCCAATTTGTGTCACATCCATTCCTTTATACTATATCTGGTTTGTTTTCTTAATTTTTCATTGACTAGTAATAATTGTATATATTTATGGAGTACACTGTAATGTTTTGATGTATATATACATTATAGAATGATTATATTAAGCTAGTTAACATATCCATCACCCCACAACCATCATATTTTTGTAGTAAGAACATTTAAAATCTACACTTTCTGCAATTTTGAAATATGGAAGCTGTCTACCCCTTAAGAAGTGCACCAACTTCTTTCAGTACTGACCTTCCTGTGTTTGTCCCTGTTCCCTGTCACTCTCTACCTGGCCTACAACCTCATCAGGTATAAACTGATGAAGGGGCTCTCTGGTTGCCATACAACCTAAAAACATCAACCTAATTGCCTTCTTATAACATTTTTGCCAATGTTTTAAATCTAACTATGAAGAACAGAGTCTGGAAATAACTGTGATTGTCATTGCTACAGAAAAGAGAGCCTGAGTTTGTCCAAAAGATCTGCTTTTTAGCAGAATGTGGGAATACTTTAGGGCATTCAAGGTATCACGGGATGGACCCTTTATCCCAGAGCAAATGTAATCTTTATGGAAACAAAAAGAATAACGGGATACTCTTTCATTGACTGCAGCCTTTGGGAGTATAAATCCCAAAGCTGCAATTAATGCCCTTCAAGGAGTTGTCCTGGTATGATGTTCTCAGTACAAAACTCTTCACAGAAATATCTTCAGCATGATGTTATACTCTTACTGAGATGACAGTGAATTTGTCACCAACAAACATGGGAAAAGATGCTGTGAGTAACATTTACAATGAAAGGAAGAGGTTTTACTGAGCCGTCCGATTTTTTTTTTCAGTTTCCCGTGGGGCTAAGGCTCAAATGTACAAGACAACTGGAAAAAAAGGAGAGATTTGAGAGTCATTCAACAGAAAAACTAGAATACATAAAGACTAAACTGCATATCTGTTCCTTATTAATGAGGGGCTCTTTGAGACTGACCTATATTATTTATGCCTTCCCAGTTGTCTTTTAAATTCAATTCCAAGATTTTTCCTGCAAAATGTTAAAAAAATCTTAAATATTACTCCAATCTTTTATTATTTTAATTGACAAATAATTTTATATATTGATTAGATACAATGTGATCTTTTGATATATGTATATGTGCAATATGGAATGATTAAGTCCAGCTAACACAGTCATCACCTCACATACTTATTTTTCTTATAGTGAGAACATTTAAATCTACTTGTTTAAAATCCCCCCTTTCTCCATCCCCTGCCCCCCAGGTAGCTATCATTCTACTCTCCACTTGTATGAGTTTATCTTTTTTAGATTCCACATAAGAGTGAGATCATGTGGTATTTGTCCTTCTGTGTCTGGCTTCTTTCACTTCGCATAATGTCCTGCAGGTTCATGAATGTTGTTGTAAAGACAGAATTTCCCTTTTTTCTTTAAGGCTGAATAGTATTCCATTTTATATAGATAATGTGGTTCATATATATCACATTATATCCCTTTTATATATTTATCTGTTTATCCGTTGATGGACATTTAGGTTCCTTTCATACCTCAGCTATTGTGAAAAATGCTACAATGAACATGGTAGTGCAGATATCTGTAGTGAATTCTTATGAGTTTATGTTACCTCAGCGTTCATTTTCAATATATAATTGAACTTCCTCATGCCAGAAGCAGGACTTAGTCACCCTTATCACAATTTTGAGTTCTCCTCTCCCAGTTTCTTCAGGTGGTCAATCCAGATATTTGGCCTCTTGGTTACCACCTCCGTGTGGGACACCTAGATACAACCTACTTGACTTATCCCACTGATCCCCACACCCCACATGGACTGCAGATTTGCAGCAGTGAACACCTCTCAATACAACTTAACTCCCAAGAAATCATGCCTGCTTGCTCTAAACCCAGCAATCAGTTACTCCCTGCTTGGATAATGCTGTGTACTCCAATAAGGGCTTTGGCTTTCTGGTCTGTCACTCACTCTCTCTCGCTACCCACCCACTGGTTGCACATGCATGTCTCTAAGGGATGCCCTTTCTCCCATTAGGCCTGTGAGGCAAGTTGCCCTCTTCTCTCTGGAATCTTTAAGTAATAAAACTACTTATACTATTTTTTTTTATGTGTCTTCTTGGCGTCTCACCTGACACACCTAAAATTAATTTTTTTTTCTGGACAAGGCTCCCTTAGAGAGTGGCAATCTTGGTAGGAATGAACTGGACACACTAGTCAGACAAAAGCCACAATGGTGTCTGCCAGTGAAAACAAGTTTCCAGTGAGAGGGACACCTGGTCATAAATAGGACAATTAGGCATTAGCTCTCCATCAGGATAAGGAAGTATTCCATGAAAAGAACACCGAAAACATCCACAACCACAACCACCTCCACTGGAGCCCATCAGAGCCAGGCTAGAGTTTCTAGCCACTCTTCAAAGAGAGACGTTAAAACCAAATTAGAGGAAAATCTACCCATTTTTTTTTTTTTTGAGATGGAGTCTTGCTCTGTAGCCCAGGCTGGAGTGCAGTGGCATAATCTCAGCTCACTGCAAACTTGGCCTCCCAGGTTCAAGCAATTCTCCTGTCTCAGCCACCTGAATAGCTGGGACTACAGGTGCAAACCACACCCGGCTAATTTTTTTTGTATTTTTAGTAGAGATGGGGTTTCACCATATTGGTCAGGCTGGTCTCTAACATATTTTTAAAATACAAATTTCAATCTCTTTGGCTATGTATCCAGAAATATAATTGCTAGATCCTATGGTAATTCTATCTTTAGTTTTTTGAGGAATCTCCATGCTGATTTCAATAATGCCTGTATTAATTTACATTCCTGCCATTAGTATATAAGGATTCCCCACATCCTTGTCAGTACTTATTACCTTTTAGTTTATTGATAATAGTCATTCTAACAGGTATGAGGTGATATCTCTTTGTTTTGTTTTAATTTGCATTTCCCTGATGATTAGTGATGTAGACACTTTTTTATATATCTATTGGTCTTTTGAAAGATGTCCATTCAAGTCCGTTGCTCAGTTTTAAATGGCGTTATTTGTTTTCTTGCTAACAAATTTAAGTTGTTTGCATTTCTTACATATTTTGGATATTAGCCATGTATGGTTTGTAAATATTTTCTCCCAGTCCATGGGTTGTCTCTTCAATCTGTTATTTACTTTGTTGTAGAGAAGCTTTTGGTTTCAGGTAATCCCATTTGTCTACTTCTGCTTTGGTTTCCTGAGCTTTTGAGATCATCACCAAGAAAGTATTGCCAAGATTAATTTCAGGGACATTTTTCCCTATGCTTTCTTCTAGTAGTTTTACATTTTCAGGTCTCGCATTTAAATCTTTAAACCATTTTTAGTGGGCTTTTTACACATGGTGTGAGATAAGGGTTCAATTTCATTCTTCTGTATGTGGGTATTTGATTTCCCCTGCATCATTTATTAAAGAAACTGTCCTTTCCCCATAGTGTGTTTATTCTTGGCATCTTCGGCAAAAATCAATTAATCACAAATGCATGAGTTTATGTCTGGGCTCTCTATCACATTACATTGGTCCATGTGTCTGTTGTTATGCCAGTACCTTTCTGTTTTGAATACTATAACTTTGTAATATATCTTTAATCAGGTAGTGTGATGCCTCCAGCTCTGGTCTTTTTGCTCAAAAGTGCTTTAGCTACTTAAGATTTTTGTCATTCCATATGAATTTTTGAATTGCTTTTTCTATTTCTGTGAAACAAAAAGGTCATTAGAACTTTTATAGGAATTGCATTGAATCTGTATACCACTTTCAGCAGCACAGACATTTTAATAATATTAATTCCTCCAATCCATGAACCATCAGGTTCTGGGCTTTTCTTTGCTAGGACACTTTTATCACTGATTCAACCCCCTTACTCATTAGTCTGTTCAGATTTTCTATTTTTTCATGATTCATTGTTGTTATGTTTCTGGAAATCTAACCATTTCTTCTAGGTCATCCTATTTGTTGGTGTAAAATTGTTCGTAGTATTCTTTTATGATCTTTTGTACTTGCGTAGTTTCAATTTTAATGTCTCCTCTTTCATTTCTTATTTTATTAGAGTCTTCTTTTTTTTCTTAGTTGGTCTGCTAAAGTTTTGTCAATTGTTTTTATCTTTTCAAAAACTGAACTGTTAGTTTTGCAAATGTGTTCTTTTGTTTTCTAATCTCTTACTTATTTCTGCTCTGATCTTTGTTATTTCCTTCCTTCTGCTAACTTTGGGATTAGTTTGCTCTTCTCTTTTTCTAGTTTCTTGAAATGTAACATTAGGTTGTTTGAGATCTTTCTTCTTTTTCAATATCGGCATTTATTACTATAAACTTTCCTCCTGCTAAGAACTTCTTTTGTTACATCCCATAAGTTGTGGTACGTTGCATTTTCATTTTCATCTGTCTTAAGATATTTTTTAACTTCCCTTTGATTTCTTCATTAACCCATTGTTTATTCAAGAGCATGTTGGTTAATTTCCACATTTGTAATATTTTCAAATTTTCCCCTATTATTTATTTCTATTCATTTCTACTTTCATAATTTTGTGGTCAGAAAAGATACTTGATATGATTTCAATCTTCTTAAAATTGTTGAGTCTTATTTTGTTACCTAATATTTGATCCTGGATAATGTCTCATTTGCACTTGAGAAGAATGAATATTCTGTTGCTGTTGGATGAAATGTTCTATAACGTCTTTAGGTCCATTTGGTCCAAAGTGTATGTCAAGTCTAGTGTTTCCCTATTGATTTCTGTCTAGATGAAAAAATTGTTCATCATTACTAATCATCAGAGAAATGCAAATCAAAACCACAATGAGATATCATCTAACACCAGTCAGAATGGCTGCTATTTAAAAGTCAAAAAACAACAGATATTGCGGAGGCTGCAGAGAAACGTGAACGCTTATACACTGTTGGTGAGAATGAACATTAGTTCAGCCACTGTGGAAAGCAGTTTGGAGATTTTCCAAAAGAACTAAAAACAGAGCTACCATTGGACCCAGCAATACCATTCCTGCGTATTTAGTCAAAGGAAAATATATCATTATACCAAAAGAACACACGCACTCATGTTCATGGCAGCACTATTCACAACAGCAGAGACATAGGCCTGCCCATCAGTGGTGGATTGGATAGAGACAATGTGGAGTTCCGGCAGAGACCCGGGTGGGACGCGCTGACCATGGGCCTGCGGAGGGGCTGGGGGTTCAGGACCTCCCGCAGCCTCTGCCCTGCAGGCTCCAGGTGCCCTCGCTGTGGCTCCCCTCGCGGGCCCAGGCCTGAAGAAGCCGCGAACCTCTCTTCCCTACCCCACCTCCGTGACTGATGGCAGCTCCTCTCTCAGCCCAGACCCCGCCGGCCTCCATGTCTCCCGGCCCAGCCCTGCGGGGCCTAAACTAAGCCCCTGCCGAGCTGCTAGGATGCAGCGCATTTGAGTGGCTGCGGGCGTGGGGGGCCGGGAAGCATGGCGACCGCCCCAACTCGCAGCGGAGGCCGTTAGGGTGTGGAGGGCGCGGGAAGGTGGGTCGCCTGCCACCGGGGCGCGGGCAGATCGGACCGCTCTGTCCCAGCTGGTCGAGACCGACCTAGTCCTGACGACAGGAACAACGGCATTAACAACGGCCGGAAGGTGAGCAGTGTCCCAGACAACGACGGATAGCGGCCACCTGGCCACTGGTCTTCCTTCTCTACCAGACCTGGATGTGGGAAGAGAGAAGTGGTGGAACAGGCCACATTTGGCGTATTGGAGATGCCCACTACCCTTTGGGAAGATTTAATTACCACCGTTTATAGAAGGCCCTGCGTGTGTAAAGTGAGAAAGCGGTTCTCAACTGCCCCCGCCCCAACTTTTAAATAGAAAACATTTGCCACATTTAGCCCTTCTAGATGGAAAGAGGTTGTGATGTATGATAAAGTTAGAAAATCACACATCTTATAAATTCTCATTTGTTCAAAAAGAAATGATAGAAAATAGATGTCTTCTGGAAATGGCTTTTCGCAATGGAATTGTTGGACCACTTCTGGAAGCCATACCAGGAACGACAGACACAACCACATTTGTTCAGTGGGTTAGAGGGCATGAAGAAGAAGACCTGAGAAGGAAAAGAAGAAGGTTCTGTGCCAGACTAGTCATATTCAGAAGACATTCTCATATTCTTTCCATTGTTTTGTGTGCGTTTTATTCCCTACTACTGTATAGATCATTGACAATGCTACACTTTTTTGAAATGTCTAGTGTTTCTAGATGTTCTGAGGTGCCTGATATATGTTTAAACTAGAAGTAGTAAAATAACACATCTTGTAAGTATCTTTTTGTTAAAATTCGAATGAAACATTGTTTTAGGGGGAAGGGCCAAACCACAAGTTGAGTAATATGCATTGTATTATGCGCCAGTTCAGGAGAGGAGGAGGAGGAGGCTGTGCAGAGAGCTCTGTGCCACCAGTGTGCTTACAGTGAGGCAAGATTAACCATTATATCTTATGTTTGTGCATTTTCTTTTACTTATCTATGTATAAAGTGTATATAGAGGAAAACAAGTCCTAATTTACATCTAGTCTTTCTAGATGTTATGGAGGTTGCCAGTGAATTACAAAAGTAGAGTTAGCAAACTAATATTTTTGTACATTTTGTTTTTAAATTCCTAGGGAAGATTGTCTTCTGAAAACTTGAGCATTCTTGCCCACTGGGTTGATGGAGATGGAAAGATTTTTAGGCCAGAATGTTCACATTTGGAAGACTCCTTCAAATTATAACTATTGTTACATGTATGCAGTTTATTCAAGGCTGCAGTGTACATAGTGGACAGATTAACTTCTTACCTGAAACCGCTAGTCTATTTAGATGTTTAGAAGGGCCTGATGTATGTTAAATGTAGAGGTAGCAAAATTTCACTTTGTAAATGTCTTTTTGCTGAAATTCATAGGAAATACTGTGTTTTGGAAATTGAATTATTAAGCCATCTTTGTGAGTGGTATAGTACTGTCTATACTTGCTCAGTAGTTTAGAGGAGCTGGGACGGATGAAACTGCAAAAGGTAACATGCTAGTGTGCTCATACTTGCACATTTTCAGGCACCATTTTTCTGTATGTTTTGTGCATTGTGTTTTGCTCTGTATATAGCGCATATAATGAACAAATGAGTCCTAATTTTGCAACATCTAGTCTCTAGATGTTAAAGAGGCTGGCAGTGTATGACAAAGTACTTAGTAAAATTAGCACTTTTTGTAAGCTTTGTGTTGAAATTCATAGGAAACCTTGTCTTCTGTAAATAACTTTTGGATCTAAATTTGTTCAACCATTTCTAAAGTATGACACATGCCTATACTTGTCTACTGAAATAAAGGCAGAGAGAAGAAAGGAAGGACTACTTCAAGGCCAAAATGGTCATGTTTAGAAGATACCTCAGATTATAACTGTTGTTATGTGTGTGCAATTTTATTTAACAGTGCCATGTACATGGTGGACAAGTTATATGAAATATTTAATCTTTCTAGATATTTGGAAGTGCTTGGTGTATTTAAAAATAGAAGTAGTAGAATAACACTTTCTGTAAATATCTTTTAAAAGTAATGAGAAATACTTTTTGGAACTGGCATTGTTGAACCACCTCTGTGAACAGCGTCCTCTCTGTACATGTTCATTGGGTTGAGGGAGATTGGAAGGAAGATATTGCAAAAAGTGTCTTGCTCTTGCGATAGTTTACTGAGAATGATGATTTCCAATTTCATCCAAGCCAAACACCGCATATTCTCACTCATAGGTGGGAACTGAACAACGAGATCACATGGACACAGGAAGGGGAATATCACACTCTGGGGACTGTTGTGGGGTGGGGGGAGGGGGGAGGGATAGCGTTGGGAGATATACCTAATGCTAGATGCGAGTTAGTGGGTGCAGCGCACCAGCGTGGCACATGTATACATATGTAACTAACCTGCACAATGTGCACATGTACCCTAAAACTTAAAGTATAATAATAAAAAATAAAAAATAAAAAGTGTTTTGCTAATGTTTACTAGAAAATTTCAGCTTAATCCATTACCTATATGTTACATGCATTGCATTTAACTTTGCTATACTGTATATATTGTGTGTATACTGGATGAAGTAGTCTTAATTTTATAATATCTAGTCTAGTCTCTAGATATTAAAGAGGTTGCCAATTTATAACAATTTATGAGAGTTAGTTTACTAACTCTATTTTTGTACACTTTGTTGAAATTCATAGAAAGGCTATCTTCTGAAAAGGACTTTTGGAAGTGAAATGATAACATCAGTTCTAAATGACACATATGCCTATATCCACTAGGTTGGTGGTAGAGAGGAGTTAGAAGGAATGAAAGATTTTAGACCAGAATGTTCCTATTTAGAAGACACTTTCAGATATAACCATTGTTACCTGTGTATATAGTGGACAAATTTAAGTCCTTATTTGAAACATCTAGTCTTTCTAGAAGTGCACAAAGTATGTTAAAAGTAGAGGGAGTAAATAACACTTTGTAGATATCCTTTTGATTCATATGAAATATTGTCTTTGGGAAATGGATCAAACCACTTATCTGAGCAGTACACATTACTATATGTGTGTTGGCTCAGGGAGGAAAGAGGAGCAGAAAGGGCAAAGGGTAATTGAAATACCAGTGTGTTTATGGTGAGGCACACTTTACCATTGTCCCTTATGTCTGCATTTTCTTTTACTGTGCTGTGTATATAGTGCATATAAGTGGACAAATTAGTCCTAATTTTCAACATCTAGTCTTTGTAGATATTAAGATGTTTCTAGTGTATGACAAAAGTAGAGTTAGTAAACTACTGTACTGAGTACACTTTTTGGTAAAATTCATAGGGAAGACTGTTCTTAAAAACACAAAAGGATGAAGCCGAAGACGGCCAAATAGGAGCAGTTCTGGTTTGCAGCTCCCAGCAAGACCAATCCAGATGGCAGGTGATTTCTGCATTTCCAACTGAGGTACCCCGTTCCTCTCATTAGGACTGGTTAGGCAGCAGGTCAAACCCATGGAGGGCAAGCAGAAGAAGGGTGGGGAGTTGCTTACCCAGGAAGTTCAAGAGGCCAGGGGACCTCTTTCCCCGAGCCAGGGGAGCCATGAGGGACAGTGCTGCCTAGCTTGTTACTACACTTTTTCCATGGTTTTTGCAATCTGTAGATCAGGAGATTCCCTTGTGTGCCTACACCACCAGGGCCTTAGGTTTCAAGCACAAAACTGGGTGGCCATTTGGGCAGACACAGAGCTAGATGAAGGAGTATTTTTCCTACCCTAGTGATGCCTGGAACCCCAGCGAGACAGAACCATTTACTCCCCTGGAAAGGAGGCTGAAGCCAGGGAGCCAAGTGGTCTCGCTCAGCAGGTCCCACTCCCACAGAACCTAGCAAGCTAAGAACCACTGGCTTGAAATTCTCACTGCCAGCACAGCAGTCTGAAGTCAACCTAGGACAATTGAGCTTCATGGGATGAGGGACGTCTGCCATTACTGAGGCTTTAGTAGGCCATTTTCCCTGACAGTTCCAAGGAGTCTCGGAGGTATGGACTGGCAAATTCATCACAGTGCAGCAAAGCAGCTGTGGCCAGACTGCTTCTCTAGATTCCCCCTCACTGGGCAGGGCATCTCTGAAAGAAAGGTAACAGCCCCAGTCAGAGGCTTACAGACAAAACCCCCATCTCCCTGGGACAGAGCACCTGGGGAAGAGGTGGCTGTGGGCACAGCACAAGCAGATTTAATCGTTCCTGCCTGCCTGCTCTGAAGACAGCAGCTGATCCTGACAAGAGGGATTCTCCCAGCACAGCACACCAGTTCTCTTAAGGGACACACTCCCTCCTCAAGTGGGTCCCTAACCCCCATGCCTCCTGACTGGGAGACAACTCCCAACAGGGCTTGACAGAACCTCACACAGGAGAGCTCCAGCTGTCATCAGGCCAGTGCCCTTCTGGGACGAAGCTTCCAGAGGAAGGAGCAGGAAGCAATCTTTGCTGTTCTACAGCCTCTGCTGGTGATACCCAGGCAAACAGGGTCTGGAGTACACTTCCAGCAAACTGCAGCAGACCCGCAGAAGAGGGGCCTGACTGTTATAAGGAAAACTAACAAACAGAAACAACGTCAACATCAACATAAAGGACCGTCACACAAAAACCCCATCCAAAGTCATCAGCCTCAAAGATCAAAGGTAGATAAATCCACAAAGATGAGGAAAAACTAGCATAAAAACGCTGAAAATTCCAAAAACCAGAATGCCTCTTCTACTCAAAATGATCTCAACTCCTCTCCAGCAAGGGCACAAAACTGGAGAAGGAGATTGATGAATGACAGAAGTAGGCTTCACAAGGTGTGTAATAACAAACTCCTGTGAGCTAAAGGAGCATGTTCTAACCCAATGCAAGGAAGCTAAGAACCTTGATAAAAGGTTACAGAAACTGCTAACTAGACTAGCCAGTTTAGAGGAGAACATAAATGACCTGAGGAGCTGAAAAACACAGCACGAGAACTTTGTAAGATATACACAAGGATCAATAGCCAAATCGATCAAGCAGAAGAACGGATATTAGAGACTGAAGACCAACTTACTGAAATAAGGTGTGAAGACAAGATTAGAGAAAAAAGAATGAAAAGGAACAAACAAAGCCTCCAGGAAATATGGGACTATGTGAAAAGACCAAACTTATGTTTGATTGGTTTACCTGAAAGTGACGAGAAGAATGGAACCAAGCTGGAAAACAGCTTCAGGATATTATCCAGGAGAACTTCCACAAGGTAGCAATACAGGCCAACATTCAAATTCAGGAAATACGAGAACACCACTAAGATACTGCTCGAGAAAAGCAACCCCAAGAAACGTAATTGTCAGATTCTCCAAGCTTGAAATGAAGGAAAAAAAGTTAAGGGCAGCCAGAGAGAAGGGTCAGGTTACCTATAAAGGGAAGCCCATCAGACTAACAGCATATCTCTCTGCAGAAACCCTACAAGCCAGAAGAGAGTGGGGGCCAATATTCAACATTCTTAAAGAAAAGAATTTTCAACCAAGAATTTCATCTCCAATGCGCCAAATGTGGCCTGTTGTTCCACCACTTCTCTCTTCCCACATACAGGTCTGGTAGAGAAGGAAGACCAGTGGCCAGGTGGCCGCTATCCGTCGTTGTCTGGGACACCGCTCACCTTCCGGCCGTTGTTAATGCCGTTGTTCCTGTCGTCAGGACTAGGTCGGTCTCGACCAGTTGGGACAGAGCGGTCCGATCTGCCCGCGCCCCAGTGGCAGGCGACCCACCTTCCCGCGCCCTCCACACCCTAACGGCCTCCGCTGCGAGTTGGGGCGGTCGCCATGCTTCCCGGCCCCCCACGCCCGCAGCCACTCAAATGCGCTGCATCCTAGCAGCTCGGCAGGGGCTTAGTTTAGGCCCCGCAGGGCTGGGCCGGGAGACATGGAGGCTGGCGGGGTCTGGGCTGAGAGAGGAGCTGCCATCTGTCACCGAGGTGGGGTAGGGAAGAGAGGTTCGCGGCTTCTTCAGGCCTGGGCCCGCGAGGGGAGCCACAGCGAGGGCACCTGGAGCCTGCAGGGCAGAGGCTGCGGGAGGTCCTGAACCCCCAGCCCCTCCGCAGGCCCATGGTCAGCGCGTCTCACCCGGGTCTCTGCCGGAACTCCACATTGTCTCTATCCAATCCACCACTGATGGGCACCTAGGTTGGTTCTATGTCTCTGCTATTGTGAATAGTGCTGCCATGAACATGAGTGCGTGTGTCCTTTTGGTATAATGATATATTTTCCTTTGACTAAATACGCGGTAATGGAATTGCTGGGTCCAATGGTAGCTCTGTTTTTAGTTCTTTTGGAAAATTCTCCAAACTGCTTTCCACAGTGGCTGAACTAATGTTCATTCTCACCAACAGTGTATAAGCGTTCGCGTTTCTCTGCAGCCTCCGCAATATCTGTTGTTTTTTGACTTTTAAATAGCAGCCATTCTGACTGGTGTGAGATGGAATCTCATTGTGGTTTTGATTTCCGTTTCTCTGATGATTAGTAATGATGAACAATTTTTTCCATATGTTTATTGGTCACCTTTATGTCTTCTTTTGAGAAGTGTCTGTTCATCCTTTGTCATTTGTTAATTTTTTAATGGGGTTATGTTTGTTGATTTAAGTTCCTTATAGATTCTGGATATTAGACCTTTGTTGTGTGCATAGTTTGTGAATCTTTTCTCACCTTCCGTAAGTTGTCTGTTTATTCTATTTATAGTTTCTTTTGCTGTGCGGAAGCTCCTTAGTTTAATTTGTATTTATGGATAGTAAAGATAACTAGCATTTGAGTTTGTATAAAGATAAGATGATAAGTATTGAGTTGAGGTGAAGCAACTAATGTCACAGAAGTTAGAAATATTTTGCCACATTGTAAGCTCTATTTGACTTTTGACTTTGTGTAGTAGATATAGATAGCATGAAAGCCTTAATTTTTCGCTTTTCTTGCTAGTAAGGTTATGTTTGCTTAGAGTGACCATTTAAAGTGTGTTTAACATAACATTACTGTTGAAAAACATTCCATTACATGTCCACAAGCAAATTAACTGCACATTTTAAATTGTATTTTACAATACAGTACAAATATTTTAGACCTCAATCTTATCTTCAATTCACTGGTATTTTAAGTTTTGCAATGAATATGAAGTTACTTTTTAGCTTACAGACTCCTTGTATTGTTATTTAAAATGCTTGTTACTATTGTAGGAAGGTTGAAGGCTTCATCTTTTTTTGAGTTAATATTTAAATTCTTATTACTTACTTTGATAGTCTCTAATTAAAAAAAGTAGTATGCAGGCAATTAAACAAATCAGTATATGCATTCAAGAATTTAAAACAATTTTACATTTTGTCATCATTGGGATTAAATTTTGGCCGGGTGTTCACTTTCAATATATATGTATGAACAATTTAATTATGAAGTGAAATAGTCTTAAGTCTGATATATGATGCACCCGCATATAAATTAAAATGGCACACACAAAGACACTTTACTATGGGAACTGTATTGGAAGATTTATGAAATTTTAGGTAAAATTGAACCTAAAATTTTGTTATTAGTGACTATAAGTAGCAATGCTTAATTTATTGTACTTGATGAATGAATGTATTTAGGTTAGCCATAGTTACTTTGGTTTAAATGTCGAAATCATGTCTTTATTTTAAAAATGTATTTGTAATTTGTACTATCAACGGGGGATATTATTGGACTGCAGAGGTTGTGGCAATGTGTGATTTGTGTTTCCTTATTTTATAGAATTATCTAATGTGATATACTAGTTTTTACAGGTAATATTTAGATATTTCTAATAATTGTATATTTGACAACCTACTAAAATGCTTTGCATTGGAAAGAAAATGAAAAACTATATGCAGACGTAGGCTGCCTGTAAGAGGTTCACTTTAACTTGAAGAACACACATTGATTGAAAAAATTATTTCATGCAAGTGGAAAGCAAAAGACAAGGGTAGCTGTACTTTTATGAGATGAACTTTAAGTCCAAAACTGTTAAAAGAGACAAAGAAGGTCATTATGTAATGATAAAAGGGTCAATTCATGAAAAGGACTTAACAATTGTAAATATATATGCACCTAATATAAGATCACCTATACATATAAAGAAAGCATTAGTAGACCTGAAAAGAGATAGACTGCAATACAATAATAGCAGAGGATTTCAATACTTTACTTTCAACAGTGGATATATCATCTAGACAAAAATCAATAAGGAAACACTGGACTTGACATACACTTTAGACCAAGTGGACCTAACAGACATATATAGAACATTCCATCCAACAGCAACAGAATATTCATTCTTCTCAAGTGCAAATGGGACATTATCCAAATAAGGTAACAAAATAAGACTCAACAGTTTTAAGAAGACTGAAATCATATCAAGTATCTTTTCTGACCACAAAAGTATGAAAGTAGAAATGAATAGAAATAAATAATACGATAAAATTTGAAAATATTACATACGTGGAAATTAACCAACACGCTCTTGAATAAACAAAGGGTTAATGAAGAAATCAAAAGGGAAATTAAAAAATATCTTAAGACAGATGAAAATGAAAATGCAACGTACCACAACTTATGGGATGTAACAAAAGAAGTTCTTAGCAGGAGGAAAGTTTATAGTAATAAATGCCGATATTAAAAAAGAAGAAAGATCCCAAACAAACAACCTAATGTTACATTTCAAGAAGCTAGAAAAAGAGAAGAGCAAACTAATCCCAAAGTTAGCAGAAGGAAGGAAATAACAAAGATCAGAGCAGAAATAAGTAAGAGACTAGAAAACAAAAGAACACATTTGCAAAACTAACAGTTCAGTTTTTGAAAAGATAAAAACAATTGACAAAACTTTAGCAGACCAACTAAGAAAAAAAAGAAGACTCTAACAAAATAAGAAATGAAAGAGGAGACATTAAAATTGAAACTACAGAAGTACAAAAGATCATAAAAGAATACTGCGAACAATTTTACACCAACAAATAGGATGACCTAGAAGAAATGGTTAGATTTCTAGAAACATAACAACAATGAATCATGAAAAAATAGAAAATCTGAATCAGTTAATCCAGGAGGTGGATTTTGAAAAGATCCACAAAATTGATGGACTGCTAGCAAGACTAATAATGAAGAAAAGAGAAAAATCAAATAGATCTATTAAAAAATAATAAAGGAGATATCACTACTGATCCCACAGAAATACAAATTCTCTTTTTTTTTGTTGTGTCTCTGACAGGCTTTGGTATCAGGATGATGCTGGCATCATAAAATGAGTTAGGGAGGATTCTCTCTTTTTCTATTGATTGGAATAGTTTCAGAAGGAATGGTACCAGCTCCTCCTTGTACCTCTGGTAGAATTCGGCTGTGAATCCATCTCGTTCTGGACTTTTTTTGGTTGGTAGGCTATTAATCATTGCCTCAATTTCATAACCTGTTAGTGGTCTATTCAGAGATTCAACTTCTCCCTGGTTTAGTTTTGGGAGGGTGTATGTGTCCAGGAATTTATCAATTTCTTCTAGATTTTCTAGTTTATTTCCATAGAGTTGTTTATAATATTTTCTGGGAAAACTGGCTAGCCACCATGTAGAAAGCTGCAACTGGATCCATTCCTTACACCCTATACAAAAATTAATTCAAGATGGATTAAAGACTTAAATGTTAGACCTAAAACCATAAAAACCCTAGAAGAAAACCTAGGCAATACCATTCAGGACACAGGCATGGGCAAAGACTTCGTGACTAAAACACCAAAAGCAATGGCAACAAAAGCCAAAATAGATGCATGGGATCTAATTAAACTAAAGAGCTTCTGCACAGCAAAAGAAACTACCATCAGAGTGAACAAGCAATGTACAGAATGGGACAAAATTTTTGCAATCTACCCAATTAACAAAGGGCTAATATCCAGAATCTACAAAGAACTTAAACAAATATACAAGAAAAAAATAAACAACCCTATCAAAATGTGGGCAAAGGATATGAACAAACACTTCTTGAAAGAAGACATTTATGCAGCCAACAGACACATAAAAAATGCTCATCATCACTGGTCATCAGAGAAATGCAAATCAAAACCACAATGAGATACCATCTCATACCAGTTAGAATGGCAATCATTGAAAAGTCAGGAAAGGACAGATGCTGGAGAGGATGTGAAGAAATAGGAACACTTTTACACTGTTGATGGGAACGTAAATTAGTTCAACCATTGTGGAAGACAGTGTGGTGATTCCTCAAAGATCTAGAACTAGAAATACCATTTGACCCAGTGATCCCATTACTGGGTATATACCCAAAGGATTATAAATCATGCTATTATAAAGACACATGGACACATATGTGTATTGTAGCACTATTCATGATAGAAAAGACTTGGAATGTCCATCAATGATAGGCTAGATTAAGAAAATGTGGCACATATACACCATGGAATACTATGCAGCCACAAAAAAGGGTGAGTTGATGTCCTTTGCAGGGACATGAATGAAGCTGGAAACCATCATTCCCAGCAAACTATCACGAGGATAGAAAACCAAAGACCACATGTTCTCACTCATAGGTGGGAATTGAACAATAAGAACACTTGGACACAGGATGGGGAACATCACACACTGGGGCCTGTTAGAGGGTGGGGAGCTGTGGGAGGGATAGCATTAGGAGAAATACCTAATGTAAATGACAGGTTGATGGGTGCAGCAAACCAACATGGCACATGTATACCTATGTAACAAACCTGCACATTGTGCACATGTACCTTAGAACTTAAAGTATAATAAAAATATTTTTAAAAAGATATTTGTTTTTTGCACCAGCTATACATCAGAACAGAATCTGGTGACTAAGAGGCTAAGAAACAGGGCTTATATGATTTTACATTTCTGGGGAGACAAATAATGGAAATTTTGGCCCATATAAATACCCAAGACTTTCAGCTAGAATGGGTGAATGGCTGCAACCTATGAATAACCATAGACTGAATATAGGCCAGCCCTAAAAATGACTGCAATCTAGAGTATATAATCACCTTTGCTGATGATAGCATATGCAAAATAAACTACATAATTTAAAGTATGCAAGTCAGTATTTTTATAGTTGTATATACCCATGATACCAATACCTCAATCAAGGTAGAGAACATTTCCATCACTCTCCAAAATCTATTTTGTCTTTTGATTTCAGACTTAGTCAACTACTACTCTAATTTATGCCCTCATAGATAAGTTTGCATGTTCTTGAATTCTTAGTGATAGATCTACATAGTGTGTATTATTTTGAGTCTTGCTTTCTGCATTCAGCAAAAATATTTTGAAATTCATCTAAAATGGTTGCAGGCCAGCACATTGTTTTGTTTTCATTACTAGTAATGTTCAATAATAAGGATATAGTATAATTTATTCATTACATCCGTTGACAGATACTTACAGTAATTCTAGGTTTTCGCCACAGTATTTTGAAAAAAGTGGCTATAAATATTCAGCACAGGTCTTCATTTGAGCAAATGTTTTTACTTCTCTTGAACAGATATTTAAGAGTTGAATGAATGGGCCATAAGGTATGTGTAACTTTTAAAGAAACCACAAAACAGTGTTCCAAAGTGTCTGTGTCATTTTACGCTCCTACCAGCAATGTATGTCCCAATTCTATCCACCCCATTCAAAATTAGGGATGTTTTCCTACTTTAATTACTTCCCAAAAGCAAAAATAAATTCTATCTAGAGGAGGATAACAACATTCCAAACTTTTAAAAAGTATATATTGTATAAATTGTATATATATAGAGTATAAATATGTATATATTGTATAAATAAATTGTGTAAAAAGTATGTATGTATATATTGTATAAATAAAAAGTACATATTGTATCAATTGTCATTTTGAAATAGATGCTGGAGAAATGGAGGAAAGAAGAGGTTATTAACTATTTCAATAATGCTCATTCTATCACTACCAAACCTGTCCTATGAGAACTGCTAAAGGAAGTTCACCAAACTGAAAGAATGTTAATGTGATTGTCATACTAAAAATGAAGTCATTATATTTAAACCACTTACCTATTTAGTAAGAAAACTAAAAACAATTTAAAATAATAACTACAACAATTTTTAAGAGATAGGCAATATAAAAAATGTAAATTGCAACATCAAAATTCAAAATATGGGTGAAGAATGGAGTTAATGTGTATAAGTTTTTAGTTGGAAGTTTGTTTTTATTTATGAGAGCAAAGTTAAGTTGCTATCAGTTTTATACTACATGTTATATTATAGGATACTTTTCGTAAGCCTCATGGACACCACAGTGCAAAAACTTATAATGGATACACTAACAATAAAAAGCAACAAATTAAAACATACTACCAGAGGAAAATAACAAGGAAAAAAGGAAAGAAGGAAGGAAGGAAGGAAGGGGAAGGGGAAGGGGAGGGAGAGGGGGAAAGAGAGAAAGAGAGGAAGGCAGGAAGGAAGGAAGGAAAGGAAGGAAGGAAGGAAGAGAGGAATTACGAAATTAGAAAACAAGTAACAAAATGGCAGTACTAAGGCATGAACTATCAAAAATAAAATTGAATGTAAACAGACTACATTCTATTTAAAAGACATACAATGGTTAAATGAATTAAAAACAAGACCAAATTATATGCTGCCTGCTGCCTGCCAGAAACTCTTCAATAAATAGTGCTGGCATAGCAGGCTAGCCATATGTAGAAGACTGGAATTGAACCTGTTCCTTTTACCATACACAAAAATAAACTCAAGATAGATTAAAGACTTAAATGTACAACCCAAATGTATAAAAACAATAGAAGAAATTCTAGGAAATACCATTCTGGACATCGACTTTCACGAAGACTTCAAGACGAGGACTCCAAAAGCAATCACAACAAAACCAAAAATTGACAAATAGAATATAATTAAACTAAAGAGCTTCTGCATAGCAAAAGAAACTATCAACGGAATACACACACAACTTACAGAATGGGAGAAAATATTTGCAAACTATGCATCTGGCAAAGGTCTAATATCCAGAATCTATAAGGAACTTAAACAAATAAAAAAGTGAAAAACAAACAACTCTATTTTTAAAACGAGCAAATGGCATGAACAGACACTTCTCAAAAGAAGATATACACATCTAACAAGTATATTAAAAAGTTCAATATCACTAATCACCAGAGAAATGCAAATCAAAACCACAATGAGATATTGTCCCACACCGGTCAAAATGGCTACTATTAAAAAGTTAGGAAATAACATTTGCTGGTGAGGTGGTGGAGAAAAGGGAACATTTATATACCACTGGTGGAAATGAAAACTAGTTCAGCCACTGTAGAAAGAAGTCTGGAGATTTCTCAAATAACTTAAAATAGAACTACCACTTGATCCAGCAATCCCATTACTAGGTGTATAACCAAAGTAATATAAATCATTCTGCCATAAAGCAATATGCATGCAGATTTTCAGTGCAGCACTATTTACAATATCAAAGTCACAGAATCAACCTAGTTGTCCATCAGTGGTGGACTGGATACAGAAAACATATATACCACAGAATACTATGCAGCTATAAAAAACGAGACTTTGGTCTTTGCAGTAATAGGGATGGAGCTGGAAGCTATCATCCTAAGCAAATTGGTGAAGGAATGGAAACCCCAGTATGGCATGTTCTCACTTATAATTGGGAGTTAAATATTGAGTACATAAGGACACAAAGAAAAGAACAATAGAAACTGGGGCCTATGATGGGGGAGGTGAGGATCAAAACCAACCCATTGGTTACCACACTTATTACATGGGTGACAAAATAATCTGTACACCAAACCCATGTGACACACAATTTACCTATATAACAAACCTGCACAGGTACCCTGAACCTAAAATTAAAGTTTAAAAAAAAAGAAAAGCTACTTAATGGGTATAATGCTAATTCCCTGGGTGACAAAATTATCTGTACACCAAACCCCCATAACAAAAAATTTACTGATGTAACAAACCTGCACATGTACCACTTGAACCTGAAATACGTTGTGCACATGTACCCTAAAACTTAAAGTATAATAAAAAAAATTAAAAATAAAAAAAAGCAAAAAAAAAAATTGGAAAGAAAAAAAAGAACCTCACTTCACCTATAGAAACACACAAAGAATGCAACACCAGTGTCTAGCAAGAGAAGGATGGATAAAGAAAATGTAATATATATACATGATGGAATATCATTCAACCATAAAAAATAATGAAATCCTTTCATTAGTAGCAACATGGATAAAATTGGAAGTCATTATGTTAAGTGAAATAAACCATGAACAGAAATACAAATATATCATGTTCTCACTGGTATGCAGGAGCTAAAAAAAGTGGATCTTATGAAGGTCAAGGGTAGAATGGTGCTTATCAGAGTCTGCAAATGGATGCAAGGAAAAACAGATGAAAAAGAGTTTGTTAGTGGGTACAAAAATAGAGTTAGATACAAGGAATAATTTTTAGTATTTGATAATACAGTAGAGAAAATACAACTAACATTTATTAATATTAGCATAACATATATTGTATATTTCAAAATAGCTAGAAAAAAATTGTAATTTTCACAACACAAAGTGTTTGTGGTGATAGATATTATAATCACTCTGATTTAATCATTACACATTGTATATGTGTAAGAAAACACATCTACCCCAAAATATGTACAACTATAATATATTGAAAAATTAAATAAATAAATAAATATAGTGCTCATTTTAGAAAACCAATCAATGATGCCTAAAAGAGGGACTAATGTGTAAATATAAGCATCAAAACAAAAAAAATCAAATCTCCTGAAATACCAAAATACCAAAAAAGAATGAAAAGTGAAATATTTTATATACCTTTTATAAAGATATATGTATAAACTTATAAAGATATGTCTTTAATTTACCTGGCTGGGGCTTTTTGGAAGACTTCATTCATGAGTCTGTCTGTATTTGACCATGACTCAGACCTCGACCAATGCAAAAAGCATTTTCTCAGCAGGTATTTGTTGAAAATAATTTCAAGTGACTGCTTTAACTTCACTTCTGACTAAAGCAATTGATAAAAGTTGGGGCAGACCATAAAGCAATAAAAGAGCTTAAAAAATGTAAGGAATGGGATGTCTATAGGGATTTTGAAAATCTTTGCCATATGCCAGGAATTTCATGTATATGCATATGGCTGTGTTCAGATTCAGGACTCTATAAATGCTCAAGCAAGAACTGAGAAGATTCTAAACTCTTGTCTCTGGCTGACCTTCAGTATTTCAGGAAGAAGTAAGTGGAGGCTAAGGTAGAGATGTGAACTGCCTGACTAGGTGTCAGAGTCATGCCTCAATATGAACATAGAGGTCTTTGACAGAAACTGGAAGATTTATTAGTCCCAGGCATTGAAAGAAATTTCTGTCCAATTATTTGCTGGCCACTAGACTACCTGAGTACAGATTTTAATGGCCCTACACCACAAAGAAGGCAGACTTTAGAGAATTATTTGGGAGTATTCACTAAACAAGCAAGCAACAACTACATTAATAAGCAGCAACAACTACATTAATAAGCAGCAACAACAAATTCTAGTGAGACAGGGAGAATCTGGTTTCCACAGTTGCCATTTCTAGTATTTAAAATATTTAGTTTTCCAAATTTATAAGAAAGAAAAACAACCCCATTAAAAAGTGAGCAAAGAACATGAGCCGACAGTTTTCAAAAGAAGACATACATGCAGCCAACAATCATATGAAAAAAGCTCAACATCACTGATCATTAGAGAAATGCAAATCAAAACCACAAGGAGATACCTTATCACACCAGTCAGAATGGCTATTATTAAAAAGTCAGAGAAGAACAGATGCTGGGAAGGTTATGGAGAAAAACAAACATGTATACACTGTTGGTGGGAGTGTAAATTAGTTCAACCATTGTGGAAGGCATTGTGGCAATTCCTCAAAGTTCTAAAGACAGTAATACCATTTGACCCACCAATCTCATTACTGGGTAAGCACCCAAAGGAATATAAGTTGTTCAATTGTGAAAACACATGCATACATATGTTTATTGGAGCACTACTCACAATAGCAAAGACATGGAATCAACCTAAATGCCCATCAATGATAGACTCGATAAAGAAAATGTGGTACATACACACCGTGGAATACTATGCAGCCATAAAAAAGAATGAGATCATGTCCCTTTCAGGAACATAGATGGAGTTGGAGGCCATTATCCTTAGCAAACTAACACAGTAACAGAAAATTGAATACCACATGTTCTCACTTGTAACTGGGAGCTAAATGATGAAAACATATGGACACATAGAGGGAAACAATACATACTGTGGCCTGGTGGAGGGTGGAGGATGGGAGGACAGAGAGGATCAGGAAAAATAACTAATGGATGCTATGCTTAATACCTGGGTGATGAAATAATCTCTACAACAAACCCCCATGACCTGCGTATGTACCTTTGAACTTAAGATAAAAGTTTTAAAAATAAAAATAAATGAAATGAAGTATCTAGTTTTCAACATAAAATTATAATACAAGTGAAGAAAGACACAGGAAGTATGGGTCATAAAAGGAGGGGGAAATGCAATCAATAGCAGCAAATCTAGGTGTTGAACTTGTTGGACAAAGGCTTACATCAGCTACTTTAAAAATAGGGTCAAAGAGCTGAAATAAACCATGTTTAAAGAACTAAAGGAAGATATGACAACTATTTCTCACTAAATAGAGAAAATTATTAAAGAGATAGACATTATTTGTTGTTAAAGAACCAAGTCAAATTCTAGAGATGAAAAAGTACAGTGATGGAAATAAAAAATGCAGCAGAAGACCTGAACACCAGATTTTAACAAGCAGAAGGAAGAATCAACAAACTACAAGATAGGTCAATTGAGATTATCTAGTCAGAGTAATAAAAAGAAAAAAGAATGAAGAAAAATAAAACAGCCTAAAGAAATCTGAGACATTATCAACCATAGCAAACCACTGAAAACATCAGATGTTGACAAAGAGATAAATAACAGGAACTCTCATTCACTGATTACAGAAATCCAAAAGTGTACAACCACTCTAGAGGACAACTGGACAGTTTCATACAACACTAAACATCTTAACCATAGAATCCAGCACTCACGTGTCCTGGTATTAACCCAAATAATCTGAAACGTTATGTCCACACAGAACCTGTACACAAATGTTTGCAGTAGCTTTATTCCTAATTTCCAAAGCTTGGAAGCAAAAAAAAAAAAAAGTCCTTTAATAAATGAATGAATAAGCAGACTGTGGTACATTCATAGAATGGAATATTATTCAATTATAAAAAATGAGTTGTAAAGCCCAGACCTGGAAGAAATTTAAATGCATATTACTAAGTCAAAGAAGCCAGTCAGAAAAGTCTATATTATATATGATTTCAATTGTATGATATTCTGGAAAAAGCACAGTTATGGAAACAATAAAAAATCAGTGGTTGTCAGGGGCTCCCGGGGAGGAGGGGAGGAAATGATGAATGGAAGGAGAACAGGGAATTTTTAAGGCAGTGAAACCATTCTTTATGATACTGAATGGGGGAATACATGTTATTAAACATTTGTCAAAACCCATAGAATGTAAAACACACACCATCAACCCTAATGTAAACTATGGAATTTGGTTACTAATAACGTATTAATATTGGCTTATCAATTATAACAAATGTACCACATGAATGCAAGTTGTTAATAATAAAAGAAACTCTGGGGGAGGGAGTAAAAGGGGTTACATGTGAGTTCTCTACACCTTCCATTCAATTTTTTGTAAACCTAAAGCTTCTGAAAAATAGTCTATTCATTTAAAAAATGGAAGAGATTCACAAGGTTTATTTAAAAAGACAATCCAATGATATACTGTCAACAATATATTCACTTTAGATTCAAAAATGCAAATAGGTTGAAACTGAAAAGATGAAAAAAGTATTCCATTCAAAGAGTAAGCAAGATAGAGTGCTAATGGATGGCTATACTGATATTACACAATATCAACAAAAAGACAAGAATTATTACTGGAAACAAAGAAGGACAATTTATGATGATAAAATCGCTGGTCCATCAAGAAGATACATCAATTATAAGTACATATGCACCTTGCAGCAGATCTCCAAACTACATAAAACAAAGACTAACAGAACTGTTTGGAGCAATAGATAATTCCATAATTATAGTTCAATGTCAGCATCCCACTTTCAATAACAATAGAACAATTAGATAAAGGTCCACAAGGAAATAGAAGATGTGAACAGCATTATAAACTAACTACAGCTAATTGACCTCTACAGAAAACTCCACCCAATAGTAGTAGAATACATATATTACTCAGGGCACATGAAACATTCTACAGATTAGTCTATAAGGTCATAAAGCAAATCACAATACATTTAAAAGATTAAAATAATGTAAAGGATGTCCTCTAACCACAATGGAATAAAATTAGAAATCAATATCAGGCAAAATATTGTGAAATACACAAGTAAGTGGCGATGAAACAACACATTCCTAAATAATGAATGGCTCAGAGGAAATCACAAGGGAAAATAGCAAATAATTTGCAAAGAATGAAAATAGAAACACAACATACCAAAGTTTATGGAATTCAGCAAAAGTAGATAAGCTAGAGATGTGTTTAAAAGAAAAAAATTCCTTTATCAGTCATTGTCTCTGAAATGACAAAAAGTGTGTGTGCGTGTGTGTGCGTGTACATATGTATGTAAAAATCAAGTAACAATATGTTCAAGATGATTTAATTGTATTATTTAAGTTGCTATTGTCAAAAACTATGCATACTAGAGGGGGAGACTTCAAAAGCAAAATAACTAAGAAAGCTTTCATTCTTTTGCAGAAAATTAAAAGAGAATATGATATAGAGATACTGTGTAGTATATTCATATTAGATATTCCTTCTTAGGTGACATTTGAGATCAACCTGAAACACAGAAAGGAGCTAGTCATGATAAAATCAAAGAAAGAGCATTTTAGACCTAAAAACATCTAATTCAAAAGTCCTAAAGCAGGAAATGACCTTTGTTTGTAATGGAAAGTTACAGTCACCTATGGTCCCAGCAGAAAATAGATGGCATGCTCCTATGGGAACTGAAAGAGGTTTAACAAAAGAAGTAAATACAAAGTTGTGAGAAGGATTTAGGAACATCAACAAGGGATTTCTGTATATGTATTATATATGGACTACTCTGAATCTAGCAACAGTTGGGAGGCTTAGCAACCAACACAAGGCCTGAAGTAGCAAAGGGAGAAAGTACTATTACAAAGCAGAAAGAGAGAGAACCTGTACGTGGCTACATCCATGACCTGTGATCTTTGGTTGAGCAATACAAGTAGCCTCATTTGTCCCATCTGAAGGAGAGGGTAGGGGAAAATACTTCAAACTAGCTGCTGCCTCACTCTAATCCTCAGCTGGTGACTCATTGGCTGAACACAACCAGAAGTCAAATATCATGGAATTCTCTTGATTTCGCCTCTAGAGGCACAACACAGGGTAGAAACAAACATGGTTGGATAGAGAGTGAATCTGGGGCAGGGGAAGGAAGGGGGAGTGGAAAATATCCAGCACATATGTAATGTGGAAAGATGCACACCCTTATGACACTAACGGTTACCTTTAAAGAAAGGAGAGGGACAACAGACCATGACAGTAGGTCATCAAAGGGAATGCCTGTAATCCCAGCCACTTGGGAGGCTGCGGCAGGAGAATCGCTTGAACTGTACAGCAGAGGTTGCAGTGAGCTGAGATCATACCACTGCACTCCAGACTGGGCCACACAGCAAGACTCCATCTTAAAAAAAAAACCCTTTAAATTTGTATTTGCTATCCCATGCACTTGAATTTGTTTTTCAACATAATGTATTTATGCATTTTGTATGTAATTTTTAAAATCTCAAAGTTATCTGTGTATCTGCCTAATGTTATGTGGTATGTGCTTGGTGAGAGTGAAGAAATTATCATTTCATCATTTTAATATGAAAGCATTAAATATTATGAAATGTTTTAAACTATCACTTGATTCCTTCTCATTGGAAATATCTTTTTATTATCTTTCTTCCTTTTCAACTCATTTTTGTGCCCCTTTATTCTTACAACTAGAAATGATTAAATTTTATGTGAGGTAGTCTAGAAGTTAATGAGGTAAGGTATTCAGGGAATTCTCATTTAAGTTCCCCAGAATCATTTATTCAAACTAGCTCATCTCTAATTGCATCTCATTTAAAATTAGTGTCTACTGTTTTGGGAAATTGAGTAAATGTATTTTAAAACACATCTGACAACAGAAGAGACTTCCTACCAACCTCAGTTCAGTAGGAAACTAATTGTACATAAGTAGCATTTCCATAGAGATCTCTGTCCCAAGGAATTTTCTCTGCTAACTCCTCATCTGGGATAAGGATTAATGGCCTGTTGGAAAACAATGCCCAAGAGGTCTCAGGAAGAGCTTACAAATAACACATCCACAAAGCATTCTGATATTTTCTACTATTGTCTTCCTAACCCATGTTTTCTTCTCTTTGGAACCCTGTAACAATTGAAAACCTAAGTTGTGAAGCTAATTCTTAAATACTCATGTATACTACAGTTTATCCATCCTCTGAACGTTTGAAAAATTCAAGTGTATTCCTTCATAATTCCTTTTTATTGAAAGATATTTATCAAAAGGTGAGTAAAAAGGCACGTTTTCAAGTCCATGCATTCTTAGGGAAATTGAAATATGTGTAGATCATACTGCCACTGCCTAATATACATCTGAAAGGCAGAGAGCATTTCATTTCAGGGAGCCTTTTCTAACCTTTGGAAACAGCTGCTCAGTGGTTCTAAGAAGCAACTAGATTTCTCTTTGTAATTAATCTATCTCTCAATCTCTCACTGAAACCAAATTTAAAAACATTAAACCCATTTAAAATCATTATGATTTTAAATTTGGTTTCAGTGAGAGACTGAGAGGGAGATTTATACACTATATCTGAGAAATATTAAATGCCCAAAACAAATATGAAGCCTTCTTTCAATCAGGTGGATTTTTAGAATATATGTTCAAAATTGGATGGATTGATTTGTCTGTGTGTTTCATGCAGATTCCTAATGTCAGATAAAAATAACTTTTATTTCTTCTTATGATCTTTTACTATATAGAAAGTCTACAAGTGCAGTACATATAAAGAAAATATTGTGTATGGTAAAAATGAAGTATAAGCTACACTAGAATGAAGATGGAAGTGGAGATAAAACAGGAGACATCAACAGGAATAGGGTCTGGTACTTTATTTATCTTTTTTAAGTGAAAGCAAGTTTATTCAGAAAGTAAAGGAGTAAAAGAATGGCTGGCTACTCCATAGACAGAGCAGCCCCAAGGGCTGCTGGTTGCCCATTTTTATGGTTATTTCTTGATGATATGTTAAACAAGGGGTGGATTATTCATGCCTCCCCTTTCTAGAACATACAGGGTAGCTTCCTGATGTTACCATGGCATTTGTAAACAAATGTACTCTACCATATAGGGCAACTTCCTGACGTTGTCATGGCACTGATGGGAGTGTAGCAGCGAGGATGACCAGTGGTTACTCTCATCGCCATCTTGTTTTTGGTGGGTTTTGGCCATCTTCTTTAGAGTAATCTGTTTTATCAGCAAGGTCTTTATGACCTGTATCTTGTACTGACTTTCTGTCTCATCCTGTGACTTAGAATGCCTTAACCATCTGGGAATGCAGCCCAGTAGGTTTCAACCTCATTTTACCCAGCTGCTATTCAAGATGGAGCTGCTCTGGCTCACATGCCTCTGACATTTCCTCCCTCCCCTTTACAAGAGAACCCTTAATCCTAAGGGTTGGAGAGGGACAAAGATCCATCTCCTTCTGTAGCTTCTTCAGGCTTAAGAGGAGCAATGATATTCCTGCCTAACAATTAGAGTCTCTCGTATTTGGGGTAGAGAGGAGCTCGTCAAAAAGCATTGGTATGATGAGAGCCATTCATAACTCTGAGTTTCAACAAGAGGTGCTATCTGAAAGATTGATAAGTGTTCCATTTAAGAAAACATTCACTAAGCATATTCTGCATCCGTATGCAAAGAGTACAAATGCAATGTATTCCACAGCAGCAAAGCAAAATAAGTAAAATTATTCCAGGTAAACTAAATTTAAAGGCTTCCCATGAACTGAGCAACTGTTAAAACCAAGCTGATACAGGGTTGCCAGATGATTCCAATATGTGCCCATGATTAGAATATTGGTCCAGATTTTTACATTACCCAAACCTCTTGTATCTTCTGAGTAACAGTCTAAGATCACTGGTTGGTTCACAGGAATAAGCAGGTTTAGCCTAAATTGTAGAAACAAACTTAAAAACAACTCATGAGACTAGAATTTAATAACAAGTGTACCATACTTCTTGAAACATAATTTTTCTCACTTCAGTTTCTCATTTTTACTGAAGACAAATTATGATAAGACTGATTTACTTTATTGCACTTGGCCTGATTATTTGTATAAAGTGGAACAAGAATAATTATTTTATACATTACCAAAATTTCTTTGTCAATCACGTTTTTGCCAGTGGCTGTGGTAACGAGTTTTGTCATACACAGACAATTGTCTTGTTTTAATCCTCTTCAAAAGGTGGTTTATAGTCAGCTATACAACTCTAACGGATGTTCTTAAATGCAGGTTTCTGATAACTTTGGAAATTGTGACATTAGAATAGAGGAAACAACTTTTGCAACTCTCGTGAAGAACAGGAATGTTCATGAATATCAAACAGAACAGGAGTTAACTGCATAAACTAAACTAAAAGAATAAACTAATCTTTTTGACTTTGCTTAAAACGTTGCTAACCCTTTGTTTTGTTTTCCAGAGTTAAGAAAACTTTTACTTTGAGCTATTTACAGCCTTTAGCAATTGAGTAAAGTATACTTCTGTGGAAAAAAAAAAAATGGACCATATTTGTTTCTCTCTACCTGATTTCTCCAGAATTTGGAGACTATTTGTGAGTATTCTTAACTGATGGCAATATATTTATTTGCATAAGTGCAATAAGAATCTGTTTTTTTTTTTTTGTAGCCGGACACAGTTGGAGAAATTGGTTATTTTACCAAGGCTTTGACTGGAATGGTGTGTTTTCCTTTAAGGAATGAAACTTGACTTATAGAGCCAATAAAAACCCCTTGGGGAACTGACCTTCTACCTTGCCTACACAGTCCCTATACAGGGTTTCTGGCCTGTGGTAAGTAAAGAATGTCATTTTCTAACATTCCAAGGATTCCTGCTTTATCTTGGGACCCCATGAGGAGAGGAATTTACTCAACTCATGGGTCTGGCACTTTAATAAAGTGGCTTTAAACATTTGTGATTAAGTAAATCCCCATGTAGTAAAATAGTGATGAAACATTTCTTGAAGTATAAGATCCAAAAGACAGATAAAATCCCAAAGCTAAAAGAAATAAAATACAAGAATGACATGAGAAAAAAATATGAGATCTAAGAATAGAATTACAGAGCTTAAATATACTTCAAAATTAAATCACATTGATTAGTCATTCCTAGTCTGATGTCTTCAGGGAAATGTCCAGAGAAATGGAGGAGCTCTGGGTGACCACCACTCACAGACAAAATATACTTAATAAAGTTAATAACAAAATCCCAAATAATATAAATTTAATAAAATTGCGGAAGACATACTGGAGTGAATATTGTCATTAAAGGTAGTTATAATTAGTTATAATTATGGAAGAATTCATGGAGGATCAAATCTAAAATTGCTTTTTAAAAAATTCAAGGATGGTCCCTGGTAGAAAAAATATAAAAGGTGAACATAACAATGTTAAATAAAGATAGCAGGTATCTAATAGTGAAATTATTTAATAATGTAATTTGCAATTCTCAGAATACAGGCATGCACCACATAATGACATTTTCATCAATGACTGACCATGCATGTGTTCAACAGTGGTCCCATAAGATTACAATGGAGCTAAAAAATTCCTGTTGCCTAGTGACACTGTATCCATGATAATGTTATAATGTAACACATTACTCAAGTGTTTGCAGTGATGACGGTATAATCAAACCTGCACTGCCAGTCATATAAAAGAATAACACATAAAATTGTGTGCAGTACATAATACTTGATGATGATAAATAAATATGTTACTGGTTTATATTTTTGCTATACTATACTTTTTATGATTTTTTATACTCCTACTTATTTTTAAAAAGTTAACTGTAAAACAGCCTCACACAAGTCTTTCAGCAAGTATACCAGAAGAAGATATTGTTATTATAATCATAGGAGATGACAGCTCCATGCATGTTATTGCCCCTGAAAACCTTCCAGTGGGACAAGGAGCTGGAAGACAATGATATTGATGATCCTGACCCTGTGTAGGCCTGGGCTAATGTGTGTGTTTGTGTCTTCATTTTTAACAAAAAAGTTAAAAAACTTAAAAAAATAGAAATAATTTATAGAATAAGGATATAAACAAAGAACATACTTTTGTACAGCTGTATGATGGGTTTAAGTGTTATTCAATAATCAAAAAGTTAAAGAAATTAAGAAGTTTATGAAGTAAAAATGTTACAGTTAGCTAAAATGAATTTATTATTAAACAGAGAAAAGTGTTTTTTAGTAAATTTAGTGTAGGCTATAGACAGTGTTTACAAAGTCTATAGTAGTGTACAGTAGTGGTCTAGGCCTTCACATTCCCTCACCATTCACTCACTGACTCACCCAGAGCAACTTCAAGTCCTGCAAGATCCATTTATGGTAAGTGCCCAATATAGGTATACCATTTTTTATCTTTTATACCATATTTTATTGTACCTTTTCTATTTTTATATACGCTTAATACATAAATACTTACCATTGAATTATGATTGTCCACAGTATTCAGTAAGGTAACATGCTGCACAAGTTTGTAGCCTAGGAGCAATAGGCTATATCACATAGCATAAGTGTGTACTAGGCCATACCATCTAAGTTTGTGTAAGTGCACTCTATTATATTCACACAATGACAAAATCACTTAACAATACATTTCTCAGACTATATTCCTCTTGTTAAGCTATGTATGACTGTATTTATTTTGACATCAAATTAGTTTATATCATGCCTTTATTTCATCTTTCATTTCCAATACGGATTTTCATCTGAAAAAGCACTCAGGCCAAGACATATTTCTAAATTTGATGCACTCATATAACATCTTGATTAAATCAAGGTCAAATAATGTGAAGGGGGTCACACTCATTCAGGAACAACCCTCGAGTACAGATGCTTTCTGGGGCTCTTGAAACTCTGAGTTTATAGTCTCAATATTTTATTACCTCATTTAAAGCAGCAATTACTTTTCAATCTTTAGGATGTTCTTAGTCATTAGCAGAGTATGGAAACAAATGATTAACAATATCTTAAAATATGGATAGTAAAATTTTCTTTGTCATAGCGTTTGGGGATGGATACTAAATGATTTAATGGTGTAGAAAGCATATGGGGGTGTTTGACACAGAGGGTTCACTAAGGACTAGTTGGAAAGAGTGTTATTATTGTTTTGCACACTTCCGGCGTGAGATAGCATATAATCAAAGGGCAACATTCACATGTTAGCCCTGAGGAGCTTTGTATGACACCTCACAGGATGACTTTGAAGATGTAATGAAACAGAGAATGTGGAAGCTGTGCTTTATAAACTTATAAATGTAATCTGTTACCATTAAACAACTAATTGACTGGCAGAGTTACTCAGAATGTTGTCACTGAGATGCTATCTTAACTTTTCAACCGAATATTTCTCATCCTGCAGAAAATTGTGATATTCATAAAACACATGTCACCACTAAAAGAAAAGCATATGAGCAAAAAATTAATCTTTCTCAAAATACTGCTTCACTAAACTAGTTGAGGTTGGTATATCAATGTACTTTCTAGCTGAAAAAAAAGGAAAGGTCTTGAAAATGTAAAATAATTTCAGATTTGACTGTCTCTAAGCCTAAATTGGGACATCAACTTTTGTCCTGACTGCAGTCACTCAGAACTAAAAGACATATTTGTAGTTATGTGCAATCAGTGGGTCATGACAACTATCCAAACTCTTATATTAAAGCAAGATGATAATCTCATTGAATAAAAAAATTTTTTTCAAAATGGATGTTAGCTAAAATTTAACATAAAATATCAAATGCCCAAAGGTTGAACTAAATCGTAATGAATAAAAGCCCAAGAATGCAAAATCGAATTCCTGAGCATAGGGAAACTTTGTCATTGTAGGTTAACTCTCTCAATTTATACTTGAGAAAACAGACAATAAAAGTATTTAATTTTCTTGTTCAATTTCAAATCGCTGAGATAGATTTAAATCCAAAAGTCTTCTTGCCTCCCTTGGAGATGATATGATTATTTAACTAACTAGTTGGAGCTGGACAATGCTATCTTGATGATTCTTATGACTCCAGGTTTTCTCCTCCTTTTTCTCCTACCATTGCTACCTCAATATGTTTATTCTTCTTAGCATTTCAGTAATGCCTTGCAGCACTGTTTCTGAAAATGAACCATCCTGTTCCTCAGCCCCAGGCCACATTTACTCTATCAGACACCTAAAGATAGGAAACAATAAATTTCATTCTAGCAACCTTCTCAGCTGATTTTTATGCAACTCAAAGTTTGAAAACTATACGGTCACTTTTACTTTGTATTTAATCCTCACCTCACTCAAGAATGGTAGTTATTGTCAACCTTCTTACACAGAAGAAGAAATTCCATTTCAGAATGGTTGGGTTACTGGATTAAGATATCTGCCTTTAATTTGTAGTGTCCCATAGGAAAATAAGATCACCTGATACCAGATGTTTTATGTTATTCTGACCCCAGGTTACTGCACCCTGTCATCTATAAGTAGACAATCAATGCATCACCATGTTTTGTCGATACCCATAGCTCTACCTTCTTTGGCATATCCCTACTACAGGTGAAACAAATTGAAGATAATGCCACTAACTAATGAAAGCCACCCTGAAGAATTTATTCTGCTAGGCTTTGCAGACCGCCCTTGGCTAGAGCTTCCTCTGTTCACTAGTCTTCTTATAATGTACCCTATAGCCGTGATGGGAAACATCACAATCATTCTCATGTCCAGGTTAGACTCTCGTCTTCATAGCCCCATGTATTTCTTCCTCACCAACCTCTCCTTTTTGGACATGTGTTATACCACAAGCATTGTCCCTCAGATGCTGTTTAACCTGGGAAGCTCTAAGAAGACCATCAGCTATATGGGGTGTGCGGTTCAGCTTTATTTCTTTCACATAATGGGGGGAACAGAATGTTTGCTTTTGGCTATTATGTCCTTTGATCGCTATGTGGCCATCTGCAGACCTCTTCACTACACCCTCATCATGAATCAGCGCGTCTGTATCCTTAGTTTCCACCGTGTGGCTAATTGGAATAATCTATGCTGTCTCAGAGGCCACTGCCACATTACAATTGCCACTGTGTGGTCTCAATAAACTGGACCACTTGGTGTGTGAGATTCCTGTTCTGATAAAGATTGCCTGTGGTGAAAAGGGTTCTAACGAGCTCACACTCTCTGTGGTATGCATTTTTATGTTAGCTGTCCCACTATGCTTAATTCTTGCTTCCTATGCTAGTATTGGAAGTGCTGTATTTAAGATCAAATCTTCCAAGGGAAGGAAAAAGGCCTTTGGGACATGCTCCTCCCATCTTATTGTAGTTTTCTTATTTTATGGCCCAGCCATCAGCATGTACCTTCAGCCCCCCTCCTCCATCTCAAGGGATCAACCCAAGTTCATGGCCCTCTTCTATGGAGTGGTGACTCCCTCACTCAACCCTTTTATCTACACCCTGCGGAATAAGAATGTAAAGGGGGCATTACGCAACTTGGTGAGGAGCATTTTCAGCTTTAAGTGATAGTGGGTAGACATAAAATGAAGTTATTGAACAGTTAGAGTAGGTTGCTATGGTTTTATCTAACAAATTCTTGTCTCATAATCAAATATCGCTTTACATGTTCTTGCAAAATATGTTATGTCTCCGAGACTCTTTGTAAACATGTTCAGCAAGGATTATACTTGGCTAGTAGGCACATTATATTATGGAAATATATTAAAATAGTTCTATACTGGTTGGTACATACAGAGATAGTAACTGTGTTAAGTAGTAAAAAAATTAGTAAAATGAATTTATTAGTTCAAGCTAATTGTAAAAATAGTATAGCAACCACTCATCAATGAGCCTCCTGTCAGAGTCACCTGAGAAACATTCCATCACTCTCTGCATGTTGTCCCAAGTCTAAATGGGCAGTGTGGCTACACTGGGCATTCAATGTGAAGCACATTATACTTTGGAATAATCATGAGTCTCATAAGCTTATCAACCCCAATTTATGTAGATACTATTGCTTCTTAAAAATTCAGTGTAATTCTTTTTTAACAAATAAGTATGCAGTGATTTTGTATTTTTAATTAAATAATTTATTATTAAATTTTGAAATGAGTGGAATAGTGGGACAAAAAGTATGAAAAAGTTTCTGATACTTTCCTTTTACATACTATAATAATGAGTCTTCGAATCAGTGAGATAACAAGGAAGTGATATTAATAATGAAACACAACCTGGAAGCATTTCCGTGCACAATTTGGAACAGCCAGGAATGCCTTTTGGAACTAACTGTGTTAGAATCAGAATCAGTATGAGAAAAAAATAATTTGCATTTCTGGAACAAAAAGCAACTTGATTACCTCAACAAACAATATGTCTTTTTACTGATGTAAATGTTAAATGCAAATGATGTACAAAACCTGTATCATTAAAAGTTGGAAGTGCTAAAACTTAGTTCTAGGACTCACACCCCAAAACTTAAAACTTTGTCACGAAATTAGTTACAATTTATGAGAGCAAATGAATAGATTTTATATTTACTTGGTGTTGAATTAATATGTTGAGAGTTCAACACGGTGTTGTGTAGTGAAGAAGTAAATACTTGTAAGAAAAACAAAAGGTCATTTGGACTTTTCTGGCATAACTTCTGGTATGATCAAGATCTAAGCCAATAATTGGAAGGAAAACCTCATGTTAGTTCAAACAAGAATCAACTGCAAACCAGATACACTTGCTGAAAAATAACAGATCATCTGGTGCTGATACAGATCCTCAAATCATTGAACTTTTATATATCTAGTTTGGAAAAAAATTTAAGTAACTTTAAAAATTGGCATATTTCTGGTTGATTGCCAGAAAAATGTTTTCAAATTTTATACACATGCACACACAAACACATGACCTAATTCTGTGGTGTTAGACAATAGCTTTGATCATTTTTATTAGTTAAGGTATAGTTTGTCTAACTTAGTCTTATATACAGAAGTATATAGTAATTTCTAGTTTTGAAGGCAAAACACAGAACGATTTTTGTCAAAAGCTTTGCTATAAAAACCCATTACAGTTCATCTGACTCTCTCAAATTATCCTCCGTCCTTGGCTAATGTATATACTACCTTCAAGTCCTGTAAAAAACATTCATTTCAGAGGCATGAGTGAAATCTAGACACAGTGAAAAATCAGGATTTCCTAAGAATTATATGCAAAAATCTCAGAATAAAGAATACTCAGAACAGTGGACTGGAAAACCCACAGAAAGGTTTTATTTGGACTTTGCATTTCCAGGGAATATATACTGCTCAGTATGCTACAGCATGAAGGATACTTCAGTCAACTTTTGAAAAATTCTGTAGAAGAGAAGGGACGCATTATACTTGAAAGAGAAAGCGTGCTCTACCTTTTGTGTAAAGCATGAGCAATTCTGAGATTGCCTTTCAAGGAAAGTGATCTAAAGTTCTTATTTCCCCAAGCAAGTAGGCCTTTCCTAAATAACAAATGGAAGAAAACAAAGCATTTTAACCCTAGATTTAAAGTCACTAAAAATGTATTTGGAAAAATATTTAAGGTAGAACTCAAGAAGGTTTAACAGTGGCTTTCTCCATATTAGAGATGTCCTAAGATCTGCATAGCATAATAACTGCAAGGCAAGAAGTGCTAACATGCACCTTCAAGAATGTGCCTTTGGGATGAGTTCATGTCCTTTGCAGGGACATAGATGAAGCTGGAAACCATCATTCTGAGCAAACTATCACAAGGACAGAAAACCAAACACCACATGTTCTCACTCATAGGTGGGAATTGAACAATGAAAACACTTGGACACAGGGCGAGGAACATCACACACGGGTGCCTGTCATGGGTTGGGGGGCAGGGGGAGGGATAACACTAGGAGAAATACCTAATGTAAATGATGAGTTAATGGGTGCAACAAACCAACATGGCACATGTATACCTATGTAACAAACCTGCACTTTGTGCAAGTGTACCCTAGAACTTAAAGTATAATAAAAATAATAATAATATAGACACAGAAGCAAAAAAAAAAAAAAAAAGAATGTGCCTTTGGAATGAAAAAAGAAGACTAATTAAAGTACTCAAAGAAGAATTAAAAATATTTTCAAAAGGCAAATAAAAATTGTAATATTTAATAGGAGTATATAGTAATACATCACTGGCTGAGGAAATATCATAATCATAATCAAAAAGTCATGTTAAAAAGGAGAACTCACAACTATTGAAAAGCTGCCATGAGCTAGTAAAAGTGTTAAACATATTGTATGTATGGTCTTATTTAATCTTTCAATAACCCTTTAAGGTATGTATTAGCCACATTTGATAGATAATGAAAATGTGGTTCACTAATTCTTGAGCTTGCATAGTGTACGTCAGAACTAGAATTTGAAAGCTTTCAATTACCAAAAATTCATGCTTTTTCCACCTTATAACAAACTACTTGCAAAAATGATGGAAATTTAAAATTATACATTCAAAATCATGAAGAATTCAATGTTTCCATCTGAAATTCCATGGGGCAATATGGGAGACTGAAAGGAGGATCTATGTTGAATGAGAACCAGGAACCAGAACCAAGGCTGATATTAAAGAATGTGTGTTTCTATAGGAGATGAGAACTTGAAGGATTTTAAACCCTGAGACAATGTAAGACCTTTATTTTATGACTACATTTAGCAAAGTAAAAAACCACTTGGAGTACAAAAACATAGGAAATTAGTTAAATGTACTGCAACAATCTTTGCAATAGATAATGAGGCTCTCTAGTAGGATAAGAGAAGTAAAAATGAAAAAGATGGGGGAAGTGTGAGAGATTAACATAGGAGGTTAACTTGGAAATTTTGTTAAATGTGTGTCCTCTGGGAAAGAGATGAGCCAAAGACAGTGGTGATGATGTTTTAAGTCTGCAGGATTGAGCAGAAGGTGTAGATTATTTCAACGACTTTAATATCAAGGAAAGTAGTTTTTGAAACAGAAGTTAAAAGGACTCTAGAAAAACTGAAGTCAAATTCCGCGGAAGATGTTACTAATTATCTACAAGAAGAAATAGACATCAGTTGGCCGGGAGCAGTGGCCCACGCCTATAATCCCAGAATTTTTGGAGGCCAAAATGAGCAGACCACCTGAGGTCAGGAGTTCAAGACCAGCTTGGCCAACATGGTGAAACCCCATCTCTACTAAAATTATAAAAATTAGCCAGGTGTGTTGGCATGTGCCTGTGGTCCCAGCTACTTGAGAGGCTAAGGCACAAGAATGGTTTCAACCTGGGAGGCACAGGTTAAAGTGAGTGGAGATTGTGCCACTGCACTCCAGCCTGGGCAACAGAGTGAGACTCCCATCTCAAAAAAAAAAAAAAAAAAAAAAGACATTACTTGCAAAAAGAGAATTAATTGTTATCAAAAATTTTATTTATAAAGGATAAATCTAAATGAAATTTTAGCATTTCTTTTTTGGAGACATTAAAGATATCCAACAATTTAACATGATGTTATATTAAGATAAAGGGTTTATGCATACCATACTTAGTATGATATATAATATACATTTTAACAAGAATTAATATTGGGAAGTGGACAACAGTAGTTTCTGCAGACACTTCTAAGTCTTAGAGTCTGTAATCCCCTTTCCCCAGAAAAACTCTTCAAAGTAAAATAATAGTATTTATAAGAAACACTGATAAGTGTCCAACTTAAGGTTGTTTTAATATATGTGATATGTGATATGCTGTCTGCATTAGGATAGTGAGGAGGCAGGGCTCAGTGGGCAATAGAGAGGATTCAAATGTTTTTGCAGAGAAACTGCTTTAAAATTTGCTTCTGGAATTTCTCCCCTTGCTATGATTCCAATATCCTTCCACTGAGCAAACAGTAGAGTTAACTGCACCATGGGGACATCATCTTCTTCTATCTCAGGGGATTCATTATCTCAGATCTCAAATTCTTAAGTGCAGCAAATCCTCTAATCATTTCTTTCTTGAATCCATAGAAGCTATTTTGCTAGAAAGAGTACCAACTAATGACTGAATCTGAATTCACTATGTGACTCTTAGGCAAATGGGCACATCTGACAAGTCACATTATAAGGCTATTAATAAGTAATTTTGACTGGTCATCTATGTACATCAATAGCTTTGTTAGTATATAGGTATTATGTGGCTTTTCTATATGAACTAAGGAATATGTTAACATAAATTATTTTCTGATTAATACGTTCAATTTGCATGAGCACAATTCTTAGTATGAACATTATATCATATTATAATTAAGACTGTATTTTAAAATTCATAATTGGCAAGAAATGGCCAGGTTGTCTTTTCTATTTGAGAAAACTATCTGAAAAAAATGTCTTTAGATTTTTAAATGACAGTCGGTATACCAAGTACTTTAACAAACATCTCACTTGAAACAAAGATTTTATGGCTGAAGGAAAAAATTTGAGATGCATTCCTTTTAAAATATTTATAATAAAGGACTGACACATGGTCTATTGTCTGTGAAACTCCTGTGAATAGTTCTATCTATGCATTTAACTATGCCTTTAACATAAAGTTGCTACTAAATTATTCATTGTTTTAATTACTATCTAAAAAATCTGAAAATGGAACATGATAAAATGCTTTTGAACTCATTATTTGGCTGTAGTCAATTGTCAGCTATTATTAGCAGTAATTTATAACCTGATTTTTTATGATCCTATTCCAAAATGGTTCTATTGGTGAAAATGGCATAAACTTTTGTTCTATCGCTTTTGTTTTGCATTAACTGTGAAAATTAAACATCAAATATTGTCTTCTCTTTTCCACTGTCCTTCTGCCTAAAATATGTTTTCCTTTCTTTCTGGCTAAAATGTTGCAGGACCATTTTATTTTACTTTATTTAGTTCCATTTTCCTTTTAGTTCACATATAATTGTACATGCTTATGAGATATGATGTTTTGATATAGATATACAATGTATAGAGACCAAATTAGGGTAATTAGCATATTCATCTCCTTGAACATTTATCAATTCTTTGTGACGAGATCATTCAAAATCCTCTTTTCTACCTATTTTGAAATATACGGTATATTATTGTTAACAACAGTCACGCTATGGTACAGTGAAACACTACAACTTATTCATGCTAACTCTAACTTTGTACCTATTGATCATACTCTCCTCATTCCCCTCTTCACCCTACCCTATCCAGCTCCTCTAGTAACCACTCTTCTACTCTCTACTTCCATGAGATCAACTTTTTTAGGTAATAGGACCATTTTAAATAGGCATATTATACTTTGCTACTATTAACCTAGAAGCCGGAGTAGAGACTTTATCTTTTAGTAGTGTAATGAAGTCATGAATAAAAATTCAGTATAGTTCATTGCACTAGTTGATTTAGAAAGTTCTGGGATGTATTTTGGCTAAGGGGAAAACTGAAGTACCACTTGATCCCAATACATCTCTCAATTTTCCCCATGATTCACATTCAATTACTCCTGATATGAGATCACTTTCCCTGCCTCAGGGCTTATTACTAACCTGTGCTGTTGCTGATACCAAGACACTCAGAGAGTTGCATTCTCCCTCATCCCCTGAAGAGTTTCCATTTACGTGATCTGTAAGTGTCTGTGTGTGAAGGGGTTGAGGAAGCGGTGTTAACCTTCGCCAGGGAGATCCCCCTGTCAGCTAACACCTTTATGGGGGGCATTCAGTCTCTTGTAGCTAGGATCCCAGAGGTCCATGACAAGAGTGAGCATTCCCTCAGTTCCCTCATTCGCCAATTTCCCAGAAGCCATCCCAACAGCAGGGTCCCCAGCTTTCTGTCTCTACAGCCTCAGCTTTAGCTTTGCCTCTTCACGCTCAGCATTTTCTTTCCTAAGATCTGTCCAATTTATGTTGATTTACTCGATAATTTGGTCTCTCTCAGTGAAAGCGGTGCTTCCTGGCTGCATCTAGTTGGACATCTTGTTCCTTCCCATCTGTGTAATACATTTTTCATACATGCTTTATTTTGACATAATTTTAGCTTTACAGAAAAGTTGCAAAGATGGCATGGAGAATTCCCAAATACCCCTTACCCAGTTTCACTTTCCCTTAATGTTACATTTCTCTGGTTTATTTTTCAAAATTAGGAAACTAACATTGGTATGTTACTATCACTGAAACTCCAGACTATCTTTGGATTTCAGCAGGATTTTCTTTAATGTTCTTTTTTTGTTGCAAAATTCAATCCAGAACACCCCATTGCATTTAGTTGTCATGTTTCAGTTTCCTGAATCTGTTTCCTTGTTTTTCTTGATATTGATAATTTTGAGTACTGCTCAGGTATGTTATAAAATGCACTTCAATCATGGTTTGTCCGATGTTTTCTCATGATTATGTTATGGGATCCTTGGGGTATCACTTCACCAGCGAAAACCTCTGTCCCTAGTGGCACCTATGCCCAAGTTTTCCTCAGGCCCACTGGCCCACTCAGCCTAGCAGGCTGTGCTCAGCTCACAATACCAGCCTGGATCCCATACCTGCCAAGGGCAAGCAGAGCAGCGAGGCGTGTATGAGCGAGAAAGTGTGGGGTCCACCTACTGCACACAGCCAGGCATGCTTGCTGTGGCAGGGCAGGCAGTTCCAGGCACCAACACAGGCACCAGCTCCCTGCAAGGCTGCAGCTGGAGCAGGTGTACTGCAAGCAGCTTCCATGGCTGATGCTGCAGAATGCAGTGGTGCCCAGAAGCTAAGAGACACCAGGAACCACAGAGCCAAAGAGGCTGTCACAGCCCTGACTCAGGGAGCTCTTAGGTCTGGGCTCCCCGAAGGGCAGCAGTTCTTCACTCCTTTTTGTCGCCTGCAATGTGGTGAGTGAGGAAAGGGTATGTTTTAGCCCTGTTTGTGTGACTGCTCTTTCAGCCATGCCATTCGGTGGGTCCCAAGTTCTTGTCCTGCACCCAGGAAGAATGAGATATGCAGAAAGTGGAGGGTGAGTTAGGTGAAAAGGAGCTTTTCTGAGCAACAGAACAGCTCAGAGGAGACACATAGAGGGTAGCTCCTCTCCACAGCCAGGGTGTCCTGACCAGTGTTCAACTCTCAGCAGAGAGGAGACCCTGAGGTGGATAGCTCCTTTCACAGCTGGCCGTACCATTGCCTTTTCAGCTCTCAGCAGAGAGGAGACCCTAGGGTGGGTACCTCCTCTCTGCAGCTGGTTGTCTTGTCATCTTTTTCAATCTGGCTGAGTCCGGGAGTTTTTATGGGCTTCAGAGTAGAGGAAGTAGGTGCTGATTGGCCCTTGGGCAACCATGTGCAGGCCCAGAAAAAGCATCATAAATTCCCACTCCAGTCTGCGAGGCTGGCAGCCCGGCTCTCAGGCTTCAAGCCTTCCCTGGGTTGAAGGTGGGGCCTCACTGGGGACCCATCCCTCTCTGTCCAGGAGCCTGTCTGCCTCCTGCCACTGTTCATGGCACCCAGGCTGTTCCTGCCGAGGGTCACCTGCAGGCCAGGGCCAAGCTGCCTTCAGCACCTCCCCAGCCTCCCTTCCTTGCTTACTGGTGCCCAAAGTCCAGAGCGGGGCTCAGGCAGCAGGATGCTGGTGTGTCAGCAATGCCCCAAGCATGCACACACCAGGCCAGGTTGCAAAAGCCCCAGGGCTCAGCCTCAACTCCGCTCCGAGATCAGAGCTGGTGCCAGGAGCAGGCAGAGGCCAGGCAGCAGGAGCAGGCACCTCCGAGTCTGCACGGGGGCAAGGGTTCTTTCCCGGGTCCCCAAAAGTGTGGAGATGCCCAGATCCACAGCCACAGCTTGCACACCTGCAACTGCACCCAGAAGGGCAGGGCTCCTGGCACCCAAGAGAACAGGGATGCCCAGGTTTGTAGCCACATCTTGAGCAGCTGCAGCTGCACCCGGGAGGGTGAGGTTTCTGCCTGCTCCCGGACCCCAAGAGCACAGGGATACCCGGGTCTGCAGCCACAGCTGGGCAGCTGCAACTGAGCCTGGGGAGCACAAGGCACCTGCCTGCCAACTCATAAGGGGTGGGGGCTTTTGCCTGTTCCCAGCTCCTTCGGGCTCCATCGAGTGCACAGCCCCACCCGCACCTCTCCCACTGCAGCCAACGTCATGGCAGCAGCCACTGCACACAGGCCACAGCTGCCATCAATTACACTGGGCCTTTGAATTTTTGAAGAGGTGACCACAGAGGTAAAGTGCCCTTTTTATCCCATCAGAGCAGGGGTTACATAATATCTACATGGCATTACTGATGGTGCTGACTTTAATCACTTGCTTAAGGTAGTGTTTGCACTAAATAAAACTTAAACTTACAATTGTTACCTTTCCATACTCTATTCCTTGGAAGACAGTCACTGAATCCAGCCTATACTTAATGAAGGAGATCACGAGCTCCACCCCCAAAAGTGGAGACTATTAATAGATCAGTAAGGAAGATTTCTCTCTTCTTCTCCATTTATGTATTTATTCAATCATTTAACAGTATGGACTCATACTTTTTATACTTCAGATTATAATCCAGTGATATGTTATTTATTTTGTTGTTGAAATTGTTCCAGCTTTCCCCATTGAGAGCTCTTTCATGCTGGCTGCTGGGTCTTGGACAGGTCTTCATCCTTTTGCTATCCTTTTCTCTTCAAGGCCCCTCCTTGATTTCTGGTATTACTGGTCCTTCTCCTCCAGGCTTATCTTATATATTTTTTCACCAGCCTTAGAAATATCTTAGAATCAGACATTTCCCCAAGGATCTCTGGTTCTTTTCACTGGACATGGCAGACATGCACACACTGCTGTGAGGGTAACTTTGTTTCTAGATTATTTCAGCAGAAAGGGCTAGGTAATGTGTGTTCACACAGTAAGCCCTGAATACACACATATCTGTCATTGCTTCTATATTTGTCCATCTATGTGTGTGTCCGTGTGTATTCGTGCTTGTGTTTAAACATGATGTCACAGTGTAACTCTGACTCTAGCACAGTCCCTCATGATCATTCTGGCCTTCCTTTCTTGTTTACCTATAACTTCTCATACCAACAGTGAGAAACCTGGATGCCACTGTTCATCTTTTAACATTTTTGTTCAACACTAGTATGCTTGTGAAGCAATTACAAAATTAGCTGTACCCACATGAGAAAAAAATTACCATTTAGAATACAGTACTTATGCACAGTTACTTTTCTCTTTAGCCTGACATTTTTTAATCAAAATATTATTTCTCAAAATAACCAAAGTCAGTATTTACTTCTTCTCTACCCTTTTCAGGGTCGTTAGCTTACACATTTATATAACGTGAGATTGATTTGTCACTGTCTGCATACCATTCTAGGATCTTCCTGCATCTTGGTGAAACTTTTGCTTGTTTATTTGCATGCATTTGAGTGCAATTTTGTGATACACTTCTTGGGGATTAATAAATCATAGACTTGCATATTACTAGTGCAGCACCATACAAGACAACTCTATCATTTAAAATGTCCCCTGCGTGTATTCTTTGTAATCAACTAATCTCCCCTACACTAAGCCCTGGATAACACTGGTGTGTTTCCATCCCAACAGGTTTTCTTTTTCCAGATGTCTTATGAATGAACTCATACAATATTCAGACTTTGAAGTCTGGCTTCATTCATTTAGTGAAATACACTTAACAAATATTCATGTTGTTGCATGTATCAGTAGCTCATTCCATCCCTTTGATCAATAGTATTCATTCATCAATCAATTTCCACAAAATCATAGATCATTGTATGGAAATACCCAAGATTATTTTTCCCCTATTGAAGGGCATGGGTTGCTTACAGTTTTGAGTAATTATGAATAACACTGATATAAATACTTGCATGCAAATTTTTACATGGACATAAGATTTAATTCACTGGTGTAAATACTTAGGAATGTGATTGTTAAGTCATATGGCAAGACTATATTAAACTTTATAAAAATTGCCAAATGGTCAAATTAGTTGCACCACTTTGCATTTCTTCCAGCAATCAAAGAGAGTTTCCCTCACTTTGCATTCTTGCTAGCATAAATTTTCAGTGCTTTTGTTTTAGTGACAAAGGAATTTGTGAGAATTTATTTTCAATCTTGTTACATGAGTACTTTCATAATACTTCAATTTTGTATCTCAATTTACAAAGCCTTAATATTGACTATGAAGATTTTTATAGGAAAAAATACTGGCATCTGGACTTTCATATAGATTTTCTTAAATCAGTGAGATTTTCTTCAGTCAACTTAATTGTAAATCAATTATTACAAGCTTTTTTAAATATGGGAAATCATGTCTTTGATAAGAACAGGTCAGTTTTTTCATTTTTTCTCTAAGAATTTTGTTTTTTTTTTCTGTATCTATCACTTAATGTGTATTTGAAAACTTTCTAATTAACTTTTTCTAATACATATAATCCATGAAACTATTCCATTTTCTCAATACAGTTTAGAAATTACTTAAACATTTGGCTAAATGTTCTGAACCTTACTTACTTTCAAGCTACATTTTCGTGCTAGAAAAATGCTTAATTCATGCTGAATATGTTCAGTGTGATTTTTAAAGGCTTCACGATTCAATGTTTTTCATATAACCTAATTTATATTTTATTTCTCTGTCCGTGAAGAGTCTTTTAAGAGGCCAGGCACGGTGGCTTATGCCTGTAATCCCAGCACTTTGGGAGGCCAAATTGGGAGGATTACTTGAGGTCAGGAATTCGAGACCAGCCTTGGCAACATGGTGAAACCCTGTCTCTACTAAAAATACAAAAGTTAGCCAGAAGTGGTGGTGCATGCCTGTAATCCCAGCTACTCAGGATGCTGAGGTAGGAGAACCACTTGAAACCGGGAGATGGGGGTTGCAGTAGTCGAGATGGCACCACTGCACTCCATCCTGGGCAACAGAGCAAGACTCCGTCTCAAAAAAGAAAAAAAAAAGCGTTTTAAGAAGCATAAACAAATTTCCTCCAACCCCCTTTGACTGAACATTGATCGATACTCATTCTGATTTGATCTAGTTCTAAGTCCCAACATCCATTTTATCTTCTCCAAGTATAGTAGTGAATATTCATCAATTGTTCACTCAAATATTTGGTTTGATTTCTTATCATTTAGCACTTAATCCAAGGATATAAATATCTTTTTGCCCAGTGGTAAACTTGTCATCCAATCCTTAGGCTTATTTTGCAAACAGGTTAGGTTTTCCTCAAGATTGAAATGCTCATCCAAACCCTATTTTATTGCTGTCTTAAGTGGGGTTTTTCTCTTTTGACATAGTTTTAAGGTCATTTTGGCATCAGGTTCTCACTATTTAAAAGACTTCATTCAACACATCTTCCAGTGACTCAACCCATATTCTAAACCTAGCCATGAATGTAATACATTCTGAAGTTTTTTGTTTTGTTTTGTTTTGTTTTGTTTTCTTAGACGGAGTCTCGCTCTGTCACCCAGGCTGGAGTGCAGTGATGCAATCTCGGCTCACTGCAACCTCTGCCTCCCAGGTTCAAGCGATTCTCCTGCCTCAGCCTGCCGAGTAGCTGGGACTACAGGCACCCCCCACCACGCCCGGCTAATTTTTTCTATTTTTAGTAGAGACGGGGTTTCACCGTGTTAGCCAGGATGGTCTTGAACTCCTGACCTTGTGATCCACCTGTCTCGGCCTCCCAAAGTGCTGGGATTACAAACATGAGCCACTGCACCTGGCCCCATTCTGAACTTTAAGATGTTCTTTTTTTTTCCAAAGATCACATATAAATGGCCAATAAACATATGAACAAATGTTAATCATAAGAGAATTGCAAGTTAAAACCACAATGAGATATTACCTTATGCCATTCAAAATGGCCATGATTAAAAAAATCAAGACAAAAAAAAAAAAAACAAATTTTGCCAAGGGTATAGAGAAAAAAAGAATACATACACTGTTGGTGGGAATGTAAATTAGTACAAGCCCTGTGGAAAACAGTATGGAGACTTTTCAAAGAACTAAAAATGGAACTACCATTTGACCCAGCAATCCCATTATTGGATATCAACCTAAAGGTAAATCATTATATCAGAAAGAAACCTGCATGTCTATGTATATCGCAGCACTATTCACAATAGCAAAGTAATAGAATCAACCTGAGTGTCCATCAATGGACTATTGGATTTCTAAAATGTGATACTACTTCCCCATAAAAAGACTGAAGTCATGTCTTTTATAACAACTTGGATGGAACTGGAGGCCATTGGCTTAAGTGAAATAACTCAAAAACAGAAAGCCAAATGCTAGATATTATCAATTATAAGTGGGAGCTAAACAATGGGTACATGTGGATACAGAATGAAATAATGACATTGGAGACTCCAAAAGGTGGGAAGTTGGGAAAGGGTTGAGGGATGAAAGACTACCTATTGAGGACAATGTATCCTATTTGGATGATGGATACACTGAAATCTCAGACTTCACTATGTAAATATATCCATGGAACACAACTGCACTTCTATACCCTAAATCTGTTAAAATTTGCATTTTTCAAAAACATTTTCTTTATTTTTTTCAAAGCATCTATTTTGAACTCAAATTTCCTATACACTTAGAGGATTTGATGCCTTGTTCTCAGGGCAGGACTCCATGAAAAATAATTTACCTTTTCATACACTTTTTTTTTTTTTTCAAGAGGCAAAGTTTTGCTCTTGTTGCCCAGGCTGGAGTGCAATTGCACTATCTCGGCTCACTGCAACTTCTGCCTCCAAGTTCAAGCGATTCTCCTGCCTCACCTCCCAAGTAGCTGGGATTACAGGAACACACCCCCAAGCCCGGCTAATTTTTTGTATTTTTAGTAAAGATGGGGTTTCACCGTGTTGGCCAGGCTGGTCTCAAACTCCTGACCTCAGGTGATCCACCCGCCTCTGCCTCCCAAAGTTCTGGGATTACAGGCATGAGCCAGCACGCCAAACTCATATTCTTTTTTAATCAGCCTAATTTATTAAAACATTACATTTGTCTTCAACTACAGAAGAAACTTCTCTGGTAAACTCTTTTTTTTCTCTCTACATAAAGTGGGCTTTTATAATTACAAAATCCAAATAGAGCCGCACTTACCACCATCCCCCATGTTAAGCCATAGAACTCTGATGTGAGTCTCATGTCTCCTTGCAACATTGACGTGGCCTCAATCAGCTTCTCCAGGACCTCTATAAAGTAACACCTCATAGCAGTAAGCAGGTCCTCCATAACACCAGATCTGCCTTTGGTTGCCAAGACACTATGATTCTACAACAAACTGCAGAGAACACTAGCAGTGTTCTGCTTGGAACCTAAATCTGCACCTAGCAACCAGGACAGCACATCAGTGGGATGCCAATGTGGGAGGATAGATGGGGCTTTCTAAACATTTTCACTATTAGCACATGAAAAATGGGAAACTACAAGGCTCTTGTTGATCCAGGAAGACTGGCCACAGAGACTGTATTCCTTCTAGGCACTGACAAGCAACCCTAAAGTATGAGAGAATTAATGTCATTTCATACATGTGCAATTCAGGAATTACTAGGAACGTGGCAGTAAAGAACTTACATGCCCATATCAATAGTCAAAGTCCTCTTAATGTAAACGTGTCTTTCTGAGGTTCTGCTAGACCTAATACTATTTAAAAATTCAAAGGTTCCTCACCTCAGTATCCAATCTTGTTTTGTTTTGGGTTAGATGAGGGGGATAAGCATGAGAGAGTTGAATTATTGTCATTAAGTTATCGATTTAACTTTCAAATGTAAAAACTCATGAAGGTTGAAGGTAATTTGGGGTTTAGGTTTTTTTAACTTTTATTTTAGGTTCATGGGTATATGTGCAGGTTTGTTATACAGGTAAACTGCGCATCACAGGGGTTTGGAGTACAGATAATTTCATCATCCAGGTAATAAGCATAGTACTCAATAGGTATTTTTTCTGATCTTCTTCCTCCTCCCACCCTCCACCGTCAAGTAGACCCCAGTGCATGTGGTTCACCTTCTAGTATCCATGTGTTCTTATGTTTAGCTCCCACTTATAAGTGAGAACATGTGGTATTTGGCTCTTTTCCATTTAGTTTGCTTAGGATGATGGCCTGCAGCTCCATCCATGGTGCTGCAAAGGAAATGACCTCATTCTTTTTATGACTGCATAGTATTCCATGGGGTCTATGTACCACATTTTCTTTACCCAATCTACTGTTGATGGGCATTTAGGTTGATTTCATGTATTTGCTGTTGTGAACAGTGCTGCAATGAACATACTCGTGCATATGTCTTTATGGTAGAATGATTTATATTCCTTTGGGTATATACCCGCTAATGGGATTGCTTGGTGGAAGAGTAGTTCTGTTTTAAGTTCTTGGAGGAATCATTACACCATTTTCCACAATAGCTAAGGTAATTTACATTCCCACCAGCAGTGTATAAGCATTCCCTTTTCTCCATAGCCTTGATGTATCTGTTATTAATAATTTGACTTTTTGATAATAGCCATTCCACCTGGTACGAGATGGTATCTCATTGCGGTTTTGATTTGCATTTCTCTAATGATTAATGATATTGAGCATTTTTTCATATGCTTGGCCGCATGTGTATCTTCTTTTGGAAAGTGTCTGTTTATGTCTTTTGCTGACTTTTAAACGGCATTGTTTCTTTCTTATAAATTTGTTTAAGTTCTTTCTAGATGCCAGATATTAGACCTTTGTCAAATGCATTGTATGCAGATATTTTCTCTCATTTTGTAGACTGTCTGTTTCCACTGTTGATAGTTTCTTTTACTGTGAGAAGTTCTTTAGTTTAAATAGGCCTCATTTGTCAATTTTTGTTTTTGTTGCAATTGCTTTTGGCATCTTCGGCATGAAATCTTGGCCAAGTCCTATGTCCAGAATGATATTTCCTAGGTTATCTTCAGAGTTTTTATATTAACAGTTTTCATTTTTACATTTAAGTCTTTAATTCATCTTGAGTTGATTTTTGTATGTGGTGCAAGTTTGGCATCCAGTCTCAATCTTCTGCATGGAGCTAGTCACTTATCTCAGCACCCTTTATAAAATGGGGAGTCCTTTCCCCATTGCTTGTTTTTGTCAGCTTTGTTGAAGATCAGATATTTGTAGATGTGTGGCATTATTTCTGGGTTCTCTATTCTATTCCATTGGTGTATATATCTGTTTTTGTACCGGTATCATGCTGTTCTGGATACTGTAGCCCTCTGGTATCATTTGAGTAAGGTGATGCCTCTAACTTTGTTCTTTTTTCTTAGGATTGCCTTGGCTATTAGGGCTCTTTTTTAATTCCATACAAATTCTAAAATAGTTTTTTTCTAATGCTGTGAACAATGTCATTGGTAGTTTGATAGCAAATTGCATTGAATCTATAAATTGCTTTGGACGGTATGGTCATTGTAATGATACTGATTCTTAGTATCCATCAGCATGGGATGTTTTTTCCATTTCCTTGTGTCACTTCTGATTTCTTTTAGCAGTGTTTTGTAATTGTCATTGTAGAGATGTTTTACCTTTTAGGTTAGCAGTATTTCTAGGTATTTTATTCTTTTTGTGGCAGTTGTGAATGGGATTGCATTCCTGATTTAGGCCTCAGCTTAGATGTTGTTGATGTATGGGAATGCTAAATTTTTGTACATTTATTTTATATCCTGAAACTTATCTAAAGTTGTTTATCAGATCAAGGAGCTTTTGGACCAAGATTATGGGGTTTTCTTTATACAGAATCATGTCTTTTGCTACCAAGAATAGTTTAACTTCTTCTCTTTCTATTTGGATGCCTTTCATTTCTTTCTCTTGCCTGATTGCTCTGGCCAGGACTTCCAGTACTATGTTGAATAGGAGTGGTGAGAGAGGGCATCCATGTCTTGTGCCAGTTTTCAAGGGGAATGCTTCCAGCTTTTGCCCATTCAGTATGATGTTGGCTGTGGGTTTTTTACAGATTGCTCTTATTGTTTTGAAGTATGTTCCTTCAATGCCTAGTTAATTGAGGGTTTTTAACATGAAGGGATGTTGAATTTTATTGAAAGCCTTTTCTGCGTGTATTGAGATAATCATGTGGTTTTTGTTTTCATTTCTGTTTATGTGATGAATCACATGTATTGATTTGCATATGTTGAACCAACCTTTCCTATCAGGGATAAAGCCTACTTGATCATCGTGGGCTTTATCCCTGGGACACAAGGGATCATGGTAGGCTTTTTCCCTGGGATGCAAATGATCACACCCTAATCTGTGGAGCCTGTGATTATACGTTACTTTACATGGCAAAAGGACTTTATAGATGTGATGAAATTCAGAATCTTGAGATGGGGATATTATCCTGGATTAGGCAAGTGAGCTGACACAATCACACGTGTCCATATAAGAGGGAGGCCAGAAGTCAAAGGGAAGATACTCCACTGCTGACTTTAAATATAGAGGAATGGGCCATGAGCCAAGGAATGTAGGTTACCTCTAGACGATAGAAAAGGTGAGGAAACAGCTATTTCATCAAAAAGCTAAGAAATTAGGTTTTTATGTGCTGTTCGATTTGGTTTGCTAGTATTTTGTTGAGGAGAATCAAGATAATTTGAAAGATTTTCAAATTTCAAGGATTTACACTCCTGCCAAATGACTCCCCAAACCCATAGCCAGTCACTGTTCTTCACCATTGCCTCACTCTCAAGCACAATACAAAAACTTTCCATTTCCTGAGTGGGTAAAGAAATGTGATGTTATAACTAAATAAATATTTGTCAACAATATTACCATGCCTTGGTGTTATCTATTCCATGCATTTCTAGTGAATTGTTCATTAGGAAACCCCAGTACTTTATTCAAAGTTTTTGTCATTTGACCTAAGATAAACAAAGTTATCTATTCCTCCCAAAGAAAAGTGTCAGATATGTTAAGATCGTCTCAGTTTGCCAACAGTAAGAAATTCTTTTTTTTTTTTTTGAGACGGAGTCTCGCTCTGTTGCCCAGGCTGGAGTGCAGTGGCACCAAGCTCCGCCTCCCGGGTTCACACCATTCTCCTGCCTTAGCCTCCCGAGTAGCTGGGACTACAGGCGCCCGCCAACACGCCCAGCTAATTTTTTTGTATTTTTAATAGAGATGGGGTTTCACCGTGTTAGCCAGGATGGTGTGGACCTCCTGACCTTGTGATCTGCCCATCTTGGCCTTAAGAAGTATGGAGACATATAAAAAAGATATATGAGCCAACTGGAAGGGGTCCTCTCTAGCCAAAACAGTGACCATTTCAGCATCAAAATAATGACAGAATGAAATAATAATGCATAAGACCATATTATGATATATAGGTAGACACATAGATAAATAATACCTGATACCCACACGTACACACACACACACACACAGGAAAAAGGAAAGCTATTCCTTCATATAGAATGCCAACTCTATTAGTTTTCCATTGTTGCTATAACAAATTACTACAAATTTGGTGTTTAAAATAACAAAAATATCATGTATCTGGAGATAGGAATACTAAATTGGGTCTACAGGGCTGCATTTCTTCTGTAGGCTTTCAGAGAGAATCTGTTTTCTCAACTACTCCAGCTTCTAGAAGCAACCTGTTTTCCTTGGCTCATGGCCCATTCCTGTTTCTTTAAAGTCAGCAGCAGACTATCTTCTCTCTGACCTCTGGCCTCCCTCTTATATGAACACATATGACTATGTCAGCCCACCTGGCTAATTCAGGATAATAATCCCAACTCAAGGTTCTGAATTTAATCACATCTATAAAAATCCTTTTGCCATGTAAAGTAACATATAATAACAAGTCCCAGAGGTTAGGGTGTGATCATTTGCGACAAGGAGAGGAAGTATTTAGCCTACCACACAAACTAATAAGTTTAGAAGGAATGATGGAACTTTAAGAATCATTATTTGGAAACCACTATAGTAATAATAGTAAAAATTAGTAATAATGGTAATAAAAAATAACGACTGGCCTACATATGGCAGATACTGCCCAGTGGTCTAGGAGAATGACATTGTCGCTGATGTTCTTCATGCACCAATGGCCTGTTAAAGGTACAGTGGCCCAAAACACTTCTCAGCCATTGGTTGAGCCTTGAGGAATTTACAACCTTATGTGAATAAGCATAATTGCTGCAAATATGAAATGTTTGGTTGAGGTATAAGTGACACATTTTAACCTTGAAGGAAAAGTTCTTGTGAACATCCTCAGGACAGTAAGAGAGTAAGATAAATTCAGTGTGGTTCAAATATTAGGTGTTAAAACAAAGAATAGGAGAAAATGAAGACCTTCCCATGACAAGTTGCAAAGAGCCAAGAAATGTACATACTGAATCCTCACCTTCTTGTTTTAAAGAGTTCAGATGTCTATAGGGAGGAACAATTGCCTAGTGATTAAGAACAAACTGTGAAGTTAGAAAGCCCACATTTGAATCCAAGCTTCATCACTTACTAGCTCTGTTGTGGTCAGTTTTCTCATGCAGACAATAGAGACTATGATATTACTGTTGCCTCCCAATAGTTATCCCATCTCACCTACACTGTGTAGCATGTGCTTTGGATGAAATTAACCCCACCCCCAGTGCAGGAGCAAGAGTGACTTTATTTTAAATGCTAATCTGCCGTGTAACTTCTGAATAACCCTGAGTCCCTATAAGATGTTAAGTTGATATATTACTCTTTATGTAGGAACATGTATTCACTGTAAGTTTCCTCCAAAACAACCCTTGACGCTGTTGTAGGAAGCATAGTCCATGGCACCTGTAGCTACCTACATGTTTCTTTCAGAGCAAGTATACTTTCCTCAAAAGATAAGCCCTAGATCTGGAGGACTGCAGTGCAAAATCTAACTATGTTGTGGCCACCCAAGACAACATATATGTCTGTAAATTCCTTTAGTAAATCACCCCAAACCAACAAGCTAGATTTGTCTGCCTCCTTCTTTGATTTATCTGCTCTTTGTGCATTTGAGAGATAGCTTTGCATATATGGCCCTTTCACTGAAAACCTGGCTTCAGAAGTGGCCCCCAATTAATCTCAGCCAATCATTGCATTTTCGCCCCTTGTCCCAAACATGTTGCCAGGAATGTGCAGACAACTTATGCGTCAGTATGAAGCTCTGTATAAAGAGCCATTTTTGTTCATTGATTATAGGATGATATTCAACCTCTTGAATGTGAACAAGGAAGCATATAGGCCTGATTATTGCTGACAATGTTTCGTGATTGTGAGGGGAATCAACTTGATGACAAATCCAATACATGGAAGAGGACATAGCTGAGGAAACTGCAGAGATATTGATCCAGAGCACTGATCAAGCTATACCTGAAGCCCACACTACTGCTGAACTTTTTGGTTTTATAAGCAATAAATCCCCCTTATTTGTTAAAAACAATTATTTTGTTAAAGTAAATGGCCGGCCTGCACTCTTCAAAACTATAAGGTGCATTGAAGAGACAGACAGACTGAGGAATGGTTCCCAATTAAAGAGAAAAAAGAGACATCACACTGCCACCTTATGATCCTGGATTAGATACTTTTTTAGGAAATATTCTTGTGACAACCTAGGGGAACATGTGCATTACAGCGTAATAGTTTAGAAAAAAAATTTAAATGCATATTAACATTAGTATAAAGTGAGAATGATAAACCATACATGTTGAAATGCTAAGATTTTTTAAATCTGGTGAAGCTCAATGGTAAGTCTTTCTACTATTTTTATAACTTTTCCATGAGTTTTTTTGTGATTGTTGGATGATACTTGGTATATAATCACTTGTATTTGAAACTTATGTTTGAAATCATGTAGTGTTTTCATAATATATGATCACTAATCACCTTTCCAGCCTCACATATGTAAAATAGGAGATATGAACCTGAGCTACATAGCAGAATACAGACGGAGTGTACCTAGGCTGGAAGCCAGAGCTACTTTCTGTGATTACCTGGATGACATATTTGTGCCAACAATTCTGTACTGCAGAGTTAAAATAAGAAAAGATAATTGAGTATGTATATAAGAATATGCTGCACAGCAACAAGTATAAGATACAGTGGACAAAGACTGGGAGACATCTGTCTGAATGGGGAGGAGAAATTTACAGGGCAAAAGAAGCTGATGCTTCCATGAGGTTAGCCTTCATTCCTATCTGGGAAAAAGCTGGCTTCACTGTTAGTTCTTCAGTAAAGTTGCTTGCCATACAAATTCATGTGTGCTTTGGAAATCCCAGTTCACAAATGTTTTCATAAGGTTTAGGGCTGACAAGGGGAGCATCTCAGGGCTTCTATTTTGCCTTCAGTGTTGTTGACATAGGAATGGGTTGTCAGAGCTAAAAATGTATTGTCCTTACCCTGATTTTTTCACATACAAGTTGCCAGAAGTTATACAAGCCACCTATTTTCTTCCCTTCAGTTTGATAAAGTGAGAAAACTCATTCCTGTTGTCCTATCTGTGATAATACTGCATAAAGTCTGTTCGACTGGTTTGAAAAGTACAAAACAATAAAAACAGTAATACCAGTGTTAATCTTTGGTGGAATTTTTGGTAACTGATCTATTTCTCAGATTACAAATTACACAGCACAGGCTAATATGGCTAGGATTCAACATTAGATATACTATAATTATAACCTCCCAAAAGAAAATGAAAAGTCTATACATATAAAAGAAAATGTATATGTTTTGTAAGAGAAAAAGGAGAAAAGAGCACAGAAAGTTAAAAAGAAAAAAAAAGAATTTAGATAGTGAGAAGTGGTATCAATAAAATGGCAAAATAGGACTTTCCAGTGCCAGTTGGCCCCCCAGGTCAGACTCTGTAGCCCCAAGACCCATGCCAGTACCCAAGGATCTAGCCTCCAGACCAGTACATATAAGCTGGGCCCCATAAACCCGGACTCCAGACCAGCCCCCAAGGCAGTAAGTTCCACTCTAGCACCACACCAGCTCCAGGCTTCAGGGGGATGGTCCCCACTGCTCTAGGCTCCAGTGGACCTAAAGTCCAGGCCCGCACCAGTAGATATCACCTCATACCTTACATCAGTTAGAATGTCTATTATGAAAAAAGACAAAGGATAACAGATGTTGAGAAGAATATGCAGAAAAGGGAATCCTTATACACTGTTTTTGGAAATGTAAATTAGGACAGCCATGAGGAAAACCACTGTGAAGGTTCCTAAATAAATTAAAAATATTGCCAAACAGGGTGGCTCACAACTGTAATCCCAGCACTTTGGAAGCCGAGGTGGGCAGATCATCCGAGGTCAGGAGTTTGAGACCAGCCTGGCCAACATGGTGAAACCGCATATCTACTAAAAATACAAAAATTACCTCGGTGCAGTGGCACACACCTGTAGTCCCAGCTATTCAGAAGGCTGAGGCAGGAGTATCGCTTGAACCCGGGAGGCAAAGTTTGCAGTGAGCAGAGATCCCACCACTGCACTCCAGCTTGGGAAACAGAGCAAGACTCCATCTCAAAAAATTAAGTTAAATTAAATATATAAAATGCTCATCATCACTGGCCATCAGAGAAATGCAAATCAAAACCACAATGAGATACCATCTTATACCAGTTAGAATGGCAATCATTAAAAAGTCAGGAAACAACAGGTGCTGGAGAGGATGTGGAGAAATAGGAACACTTTTACACTGTTGGTGGGACTGTAAACTAGTTCAACCATTGTGGAAGTCAGTGTGGCGATTCCTCAGGGATCTAGAACTAGAAATACCATTTGACCCAGCCATCCCATTACTGGGTATATACCCAAAGGACTATAAATCATGCTGCTATAAAGACACATGCACACGTATGTTTATTGCAGCATTATTCACAATAGCAAAGACTTGGAACCAACCCAAATGTCCAACAATGATAGAGTGGATTAAGAAAATGTGGCACATATACACCATGGAATACTATGCAGCCATAAAAAATGATGAGTTCATGTCCTTTGTAGGGACATGGATGAAATTGGAAATCATCATTCTCAGTAAACTAACGCAAGAACAAAAAACCAAACACTGTGTATTCTCACTCATAGGTGGGAATTGAACAATGAGATCACATGGACACAGGAAGGGGAATATCACACTCTGGGGACTGTGGTGGGGTGGGGGGAGGGGGGAGGGATAGCATTGGGAGATATACCTAATGCTAGATGACGAGTTAGTGGGTGCAGCGCACCAGCATGGCACATGTATACATATGTAACTAACCTGCACAATGTGCACATGTACCCTAAAACTTAAAGTATAATAAAAATAAATAAATAAATAAATAAAAAATAAATAAATAAATAAATATATAAATTAAAAATAAATGAATAAAAATAGAACTACCGTATGATCCATTTGTATATATTCTAGGTATATATCCAAAAGAATTAAATCACTATGTTGAAAAGCTATCTATACACCCATCTTTATGACAGCAAATTCATAATAGCCAAGGTATTGAATCAATCTAAGTGTCTGTCAATGAATGAGTGAATAAAGAAAGTGTAGTATATATATAATAGAATACTATTCTGCCTGAAAACAAGAAGGAAGTCTTAATATTCTCAACAACATGGCAAACCTGAAGACATTTTGCTAAGTAAAATAAGCCAGGCACAGAAAAACAAATACTGCATGATCTCATATGTGAAATCGACATAAAATGAATCATAGAAGCACAGAGTAGCAGAAAGATGCTTGTCAGGGGTTAGCAGTGGAGAGAAATAGGGAAAATGGGGAGATATTGGTCAAAGGGTACAAAGTTTCAGATGGAAGGAACAAATTCAAGAGATCTATTCTACGGTATGGTGACTATAGCTAATAATACTGTACTGCATAGTTGAAAACTGCTAAGATAATAGATCCTAAATGTTCTCACCACAAAACAGGTAAGTATGTGAGTTAATGATCTGTTAATTAGCTTGAGTAATAATTGCATAATTATGCATATGTCAAAACATTATGCTGTATATTATAAATAAATACATTTTTTTCACTTATCCTTAATAAAGATGGGGGGGGGGGGATATTTGAGTAGGTGAGAAACCAGGATGCTACCGTAAGTGCTCCAAATCGTAAGATTTCCATAGTAGAAAACAGTTCAAAGGGCGAAGTTATGTTCTTTAAGTTTTTAAAAATGTGTTTTTATGTGATGTTTTACCGTATGTGGTCCCAATTCTTGCTAAAAGTCATTTTACATACATTATTCTTGGTTCTTCACTTCTTGGGTAAGGTTAAGGACAAGGGCACATGCCTCATATTTTTCATGCCTAGTTAGAAATAAAGGAAGAGTCAGAGATGCAGAAGGAAGATAAAGTCAGCAGAATCAATGCAATTGCAAGTCACACTAGAAATTGGAGGGAAGTTCTGAGATGCGTTTTTATTTTTATAATAATTTAGGAAATAGTGTGTGAATCAATCATATCTAAATCTCACAGGCCTCAAAAGCTACAGCTGACATTTGAGTTATAGAGAAAACTCAGGCATTGCAAGTACGTTACTTTATACTGAATTCTCCTTTAGCCATTTTTCCGCTTCATTTGACTATGACTGTCAGTTTAAATTGCTCTAGGTATAGCGCAATTATTTCAAATGAAGATGGTTGACAATAATATATAAAACAAAATGATTACTTCTATAAAATAGATTTCTTTATTTGAAACACATATATTGACATACATAATATACTTATTAACCATAAATACTCAAATTAGATCAAGCTTTAAAATAAAAATAAGCTATCATTTTCCATATGACAGTTTCTATCATAAAATTTTTCCAATATATTTTCACATAATTCTTTCATACACCCATTGGCTTCAAGTCATTTTCAGAGCCTCTCTATTTGCCTCAAATGTTTTCCTTAGTTCCTTAGGTAATGCAGTTGCTCCAAGCACTTACCTCACCTAAGTATACCTAGCCTATGATGACCATTTGTTTATAAGCTCCATAGCTCAGCTTTACCAGCTCCTTTTACTTCCTATATATTTCTCACTGCCTTGCAAAAAAGAGGGATCTCAGATGCTGACTTCTGCTATACTGTTTCAAAGCCTCTCTTACTACAATTCATAAAACTTATTGTTCTACTATTGATACTGGATATGAAAGAATATGGACCAAAATTCCTCTCAAAATTTACTATCCGACAAAGAATAAGCATTGTTGGAGAAAAGGATTTGAAGTATTTTGCTGTGTATTTAACTAAACTAAAGATAGAAGACAAAAGTATTCTGCCCAAAAAGCAAGAAATTAAAAGACATATTGTAGAGATTTTTAAATTGAGAGTATCATCTTTTCATAGGATTTACAGCTTCGCTTTTATCAAGATTTACAACAAATTTCATGCCTTATTTTCAATCGAGAAATGTCTGTCTTGGATACATTAGGTTTGTACCATGGAAAAACATCACTATAGATGTTTTATCTTGATTTTACATAGCTGTTTTCTCCACAAGTGAATGGTATTTAGGCTGACTGTGTTTTATTCCTACCTGTTACCAGGAACTCCACGACCTTGTTAGAGTACATGCTCAGCAAGTGCTAACAGAGTGAGTGAATAAAAGAATGGTTGATAAATAAATAGAAGGATGAATCATTGTGAGGGGAGACTCTGTTATATTGTTAATATGACACATACACAGGCTCATTCCCACCCCATTAGTCTCTTCACTGCCCCTCTTACAACTTTGTTTCTGAGGGTGTAGATTAGAGGGTTAAGACTAGGTGTGACAACAGTATAAAAGAGGGCAATGAACTTGCCTTGATCTTGAGAATTTCCTGATGGTGGCTGGAGATATATGCACATGGCCGGAATGAAAAAGAGAGATACAGCCATAAGATGAGCTCCACATGTTCCAAACACTTTCTGAAGCCCAGTGGTTGACTGCATCCTCAGTACAGCTCGGACGATGGCACCATAAGAAGTGAGAATGAGGATGAGAGGTATGAGAACAAATATGGAGCTTGTGATCATGAGGGTCAGCTCATTGACATGGGTATCAACACACGATAATCGCAGAAGTGCTGGAACTTCACAGAAAAAGTGATCTACTTGGCGGTGTCCACACAGAGGTACCCAGAAGGTGAAGGAGGAATGAAGTGCTGAGTTGGTAAAACCACTTACCCAAGAAGCCACAGCCAGCAGGTGGCAGAAACGAGGGTGCATGAGGACAGTGTAATGCAAAGGTCTACACACAGCTGCATAACGGTCATAGGACATCACCACCAGTAGGACACACTCTGTGGTTCCCAGTGCGAGAACAAAGTAAAGTTGAATCATGCAACCAGCATAAGAGATGGTCTTTTCCGGGCCCCAGAGATTGACCAGCAACTGAGGGATAGAGCTGGTGGTGTAGCAGAGATCCAGAAATGAGAGGTTTGAAAGGAAGAAGTACATTGGTGTGTGCAGATGGGAGTCCAGGTATGACAGGATGATGATGAACAGGTTTCCTATCAGTGTCATCAAGTAGAAGATCAAGACAACCACAAAGATAACTACTTCCAGATGAGGCCAATTAGAAAATCCAACTAAAATAAAGTACCCCTCAGAGCTAGCATTGACTTTTCCATCATCATTCATTTCCTATTACCTGAGAGAAAAAAAAGAAAGGTAAACTCAAAAAACGAGTAAACAAATGATCCAAAAATATCAGCACACATGAATAAAAAATAAAAGCCAGTTTGAAGGGCTTGCCATCATTTAATTGTAGGACAATTTAACCATTAGTAGTAATGAATTTAACAAAAGAAGAATTATAAAGCTCATACTGATATAAAAAGTAAAAGAATAAATAAATGAATGGTGAAGATAAAGCTATTCCTTACAGTAGATCCCTAATTAACAAATATAGAAGGGGTGACGGTGTTAAGAAAAACATAAATGATTGCAAAAACTAGTGGATAAAAATTTGATGGGGAACAGAATATGTACAAATATCTAAAATAGTCTAAAATATCTCCTCACAACTTTCTAGTTAATTTCAAACTGAAAAACAGTAAAGTTTGTAGTAGAAAAACCTGTCAGACACCACCATAACCAGTGATTTTATTGATCTTAAGATCAACTGTATTTGCACAAACCAACATCATGAACCTGCTGTGATGATGCTCTGAACAGGACATGCTGTCACTTCAGTGATATTTGTGTTAAAAATTCTAATAATGAAGACTAATTCTAATAATGAAGACACATGAGAAAAACTCAAATTGAGAGAAATAGCTTGCCTATACAATTCAGAAAAGTATCAAGTTTAAGTAGAAAAACAAAGGGTGAGGAACTGGTCCAGATGAAAAGAGACTAGTGAGATGTGATTTCTCAGTGTACAATCCTGGATTTTTTCAAAAACTAGCTATTAACAAAATTATTGAGACAATTTAAGAAATCTCAGTGTGGACTATGGATTAGATAATAATATTGTGCCCATATTAAGTTTGCTGATTTGGGTACTGTGCTGGACTTATGTAAAGTAACATCCTTTTCCTTAGACAAAAAACACTGAATAAAGTATTTGGCATAAAGGAACGTGTCATCTCCAACTTACTCTCAACTAGCCCAGAAAAAGAGATAGATAGGTAGATAGATAGATAGATAGATAGATAGATAGATAAATAGATAGATAGTTGATAGATGATATAACAAAGCTTTGGGGGAAAATGTAAACTAATACTCAATCTGGTAAAAGGGTAAATGTTAGTCTTTTGTACTACTTTTTTGCAACTCTTCTCTAAGTTTGAAATTTTACCATAATAAAAAGTCACAAAAATACAAAATAATTTTTTAATTTTATATTTTATTTAGATGTTTGCCTTATTATAGAAAAATAACTATCAAGTTCTCATTCATTTTAGGGTGACATCTAGGTAAATGGTAATTGAAGGAAATTCCTAACCTAGCTAAGGAAGATAATTTCCATAAAACACAAAATCTTTCTTTGTTAATAAATAAGGAACTTTAGTTTTCTTTTCAGCATTTTCAGGTTATTTTCTTAAATGTGATTGTGGAAAACGTAATCATTGCAATCACAATAATCTTACATATGGATGAAAAGATATGTGGAAAATATTGAATTTAGTCATTTCAAAATGTTCACCTAAAGAAAAAATGTTTAGCTTCAATTAGATAAGAATCTTATCTTGTGATTTGTTTACTTGGACTCAAAATGTATTTCTAAACTGAAAAATTGAATACAAGTAGAGAAGACACAGACACTTGCTCATCAATATATGGGTATTCATGATACGAACTAAGCTAAAAATCTGGGGAGAACAGTGATAGAATGCTTTCTAAAGGATGTGTGACTACAACTGAATTTGAAAAGATTCAAACTTTACAGAAAGGAAAGGAAGATAAAAATTCAGTGAGAGAACAGAGAAGGAAGGAAAAGTGGGAGGGGCAGGAAAATGGAGGAGAACCTGAGTGTAGTTCTTAGAGTTGCAGGTGTGTCTATCACAGGGTTCAAGAAGCTGAACCACAGGGCCTGAAGAAGGTTTCTACATGATGTATTTTTCTCCAGGACAATAATTTAGATAGTATATAAATTCTGAGCATGAGCTATAATTAGTACATATTTATTCTCCAAGTTAGAGAGTTCTGAATATTTAATGAATCATTAAGTGGCTGTTCATCATTTAATACATTGTGCCCAGTGAATCTCATGTTACTTTTTTTGTTAAAAATAAAATATATCTTACAAATAGTTATGACTCCTAGGTGATGCTTTTTCTCCAGTGAGTTTTCAATCTTTCATAGAAAAAAATGATACTTATTTTTGTTATATAGTTATTGTGTCAGGCATAGCAACCCACCATTTAAATACCCCATTTTCTCTGAATTCTTTGCCTCTTCCAGCTTTGCCACATGCCCTCTATTTCATTCCTTCCACAGTCGGTTATTTTTCTTATACCTCCCAATTGGCTATGGCACAGGAAGAAAGAAATCATTGTGGGGCCACCTGTGATTGCCTCTTTTAGGGGTCTCTTAATCGCTCATGTTTTATAAATTCAATGCCTGAAAGAAATGTCAGGAGTAGCTAATTGGTTGAGTTTCAGCAGAAAAGTTTGGAACATTCAGTTTGGTCCCAAGATTAAAAGATTGACCTCAGACCTTTTAACAGACTTGGTAATGTAAATAATCATTAGCCAGTTGTTACACTAATCTAGATTACTTTCAACAACTTAAACAACCATCCAGGAAAATCAGTCTGCACATTGTTTTAAAAGAAAATTTTAAAAGCTATAGCTGAATCAAAAAGCAGCAATAGTCAAAGAGTAAATCATGAAGATTACTTGACTTAGAGGTCACAGCCCTTGAGGGAAGATGAAAATTTTCCAAGAGATTTTTAAAAATTTCTCTAGAATAGGAGATAATACATCATGAGAAATATGAACACAAATGTTATAGTTACCTTCTCTCATGCAGATAAAATTTTCTTCTTTCTTGTACAGTTGCCTCGATAATTTATTACATTAACTAAAACAACATTTAGCTGTGAGATACCTTTGCCAATTGCATGACCCATCTTTGAGCAATCTTACATAGAGAGGTTAGAATGAGATATGAGATAAGAAGCAAACAAACAAAAACTTACCAGATGCAAGCAAGGAAAAGGTAGGAATTTTTCTGGGTTAATTTTCTTCTTCCTGGTGGAGCAGAAAATAAAAGCCTTATCAAAAGTTAAAAGCCTTATCAAAAGCCATATCAAAAGTTTAAGTTATCCTTAACACAAAGAAAGGATAAATGCTTGAGGTGATGGATACCCCATTTAGCCTGCTGTGATTATTACACATTGTATGCCTGTATCAAAAATACCTGGGTCGGGTGCCGTGGCTCACACCTGTAATCCTGACACTTTGGGAGGCCAAGGTGGGCGGATCTCTGGAGCCCAGAAGTTCGAGACTAGCCTGGGCAATGAAGTGAGACCATGTCTCTACAAAAAATAAAAAGAAAGAAATTATCAAAAAAAATCTCATGTACCCCATAAATGCATACACCTATTGTGTACCCACAAAAATTAAAAGTTAAAAGTTGCTTTCATGGACTAGGAATAAGTGATCCTCTCTAGTTTTGGAAATCAGGTATAACGGAGGGAGAAAATAATCTCTTTTCCCCATCCCCATGTCACTGGCCAAGTTTTTTTATTCTTACCATAATATTTCTTTATATATTACCTAGTACTTAAGCAGTACTCAAACAATGCCTTTCACTCTGTCCTTCCTGTATCTGTCCACATTCCCTGTATATTGTCTTCCTAGCTGATGCCCTCATCATGCACAGACTGATCTGATCTCTGATTTTGATCACCTTGAAATCACCAACATAAATGCCTACACTTCCCTCATCTACTACATCAATTAGGAAAACAGTCTGAATGTAGCTATGACTATCATTGCTACAGAAGAGAAAGCTCTGAGTCTACTAAAAAAATTTAGTTTTACCCAAAAGATAAACTTATTAGAGCTTTCAGTGTATCAAGGGATGGGTCTTTATCTTAGAGTCAATGGGCCCTTTTTGGAAACAAAAGAATGTGACTTGCTTTCCTTGACTTGGGCCACTGGGAGGGTAAATCCCAAAGTAGCAATTAATGCCCTTCAAGGAGTTATCCTGGTTAGAACAGTTTCTCAGTGATGTTCTTGGCATGATGCCACATTGTTGTACGAGGATGACAAGGAATCTATAGTCCAGCCATAGCAGAGAAAAATACTTTGAGCTGTATCTGCAGGGAAGGGAATGGGTTATCTTGAGTTACCTGAAACCTCTTCCCCAATTCTTCAGTATGCTAGAGGCCAAATTTGAGATATAGCTTGTTAGGTAGTCTAATTTGGGAATGGGAAAAGGCATGAAACATTTTTTAAAAGGAAATATAATGACTACATTATACATATTTGTTTTATTAATTTGAATTTTTAATTGTGTCTAACATCTCTAAAATTCAAGGCCAAGTTCAGCCCTGCAAAAGTGTTAAAAATTACCTTTGAAGACCATTCAAACTATACTCAGAAGGTCACTACCAAACTCAGAAAACTTTTAACAAAATTATTTAATATTTCCAAAATATTGTTATCAATAATTTCTTTTGATGTCTTGTTAAAAGCTTTGCAGAAATATATAAAAAAGCTAAATTAGCTGTGATAGCTAGCCTACATCCCATGTTTAAAAAAAAAAGCACATCGTGAGTTTATAAACTAATGAAGATTTTTCAATTGTTACATTGTGTCTAGGTGATATATTCCATGTGTACCAGACAAAGTCTTGGTATGAAAATCAAGTCACATTTACAATACAATTATATTTTAAAGTCAGTACTTTTAAGAGCATGATCAGGTATTTTCCTGTCCACTTATGTGAAGCAACTGAAAACAGTCTTGGCTTCAGTAGTCTTGATTGTTGTGAAAACTCCATGTGAAAAATACGTAAACATTATCCTCGATGCCTAGTGCATAATCATTCAATACATGTTAGCTGCTATTACCATTATAGTGAATTTTAATTTGAAGTGATATTTTAACAAGTCATTCTATATTATTTCTTCATCCTTTATTTTAGATATTTAAAATATTAAAAATAAACCCTTATGTTCCCATCATTCAGAATCATCAACCATAACTTTTGTCATTTTTATTTTCAGAATTTTTAGCACATAAAGTATCACAGATAAAGTTCATATCCCCTTCAACTGTCACTCTCTGACCCAACACTAAATCCAGAGACAACTACCATGAGCTTGGTATATATCATTCCAGTTTACTTTAAAATATATTAAATATTATTTTTAAGATAAATATGATTAAATAGTCATATAATCATATGTCTAAACTTCTCTATCTTATTGGAGAGGAATTTGACCAGTGATCCTACAACCTGTGGGGACTAGCAGAATTCAATCAGTTATCAAAATCCAGGAAATGTCTGATATCCTGGTCTGTAGGAGATTGTACCAAGCTCCAATATTTTTCATGTTTTGGTAACTAGAATTGTAGGAGAGTTTTTGGCCCCTGCCAATCTACTGGGTGCCAGCAAATGTTAACATTTTTAGGTGTGATGTTAGTAACTTGTGAAAATACAGCTGGCATAACATGATTTAATTACAGCAAAGTATTTCTAAGGAAGCAACCCTCAACTTTTTTCTCTACAATACACACTCAGATAAATAAAACACATTGAAAGTCACATCTGAGGAATCAAAAGGAATAAAAGACACTAAATGATCTCTGTTGAGCTTCTGTTAATTTGAGTGCTTTGTATGGGAGGAATGTGAATTAGAGTAGATCACAAACTATTAAAGCATTGTAGATGGGAAGCTCAGTTGGAGTTAAGGCCTAGAAAATTCACATATACAACATGGAGTACTATGCAGCCATCGAAAAGGATGTGTTCATGTCCTTTGCAGGGACATGGATGAAGCTGGAAGCCATCATTCTCAGCAAACTATCACAAGAACAGAAAACCAAACACCACATGTTCTCACGCATAGGTGGGCATTGAACAATGAGAACAGTTGGACCTGGGGGGAAACATCATACACCAGGGCCTGTGGGGGCGGTGGGGGGGATGCGGGAGGGATAGCATTAGGAGAAATACCTAATGTAAATGATTAATTGATGGATGCAGCAAACCAACATGGCACATGTATACCTACGTAACAAACCTGCACGTTGTTCACATGTACCCTAGAACTTAAATAATAATAAAATAAAATAAAACAGACGATGGAAAAAAATCAGTCATATTTCTATACAATTTATAGTGGTATCTAAAAACATGAAATACATAGAGGTGACTTTAACAAAATATGGACAATAGCTATACAATGAAAACCTCAAATGCTTCTGAAAGAAAATAAGATGTAAGTAAATGGAGATCTATATCATGTCCCCAGATCAGAAAAGTCAATGTTGTCAAGTTGCCAGTTCTTCTCCAATTGGTCTATAAATTCAATGCAATCCCCAATCAAAATGCCACCAGGCTTTTTCTGTGGAAATGACACACTGTATTTTATTAAAGTTAAAATTTTTCTCTTTGAAAGATATGACAGTATTCTATTTGCAAAAGATTTGTTTGACCAAGGACTTGAGTTCAGAGTATACAAAGAACTTCAAATTCAACAATAAGAAGACAAATGACCCAATTTTTAAAGTGAGTAAAATATCTGAACAGAAGCTACACAAAATAACATATATGAAGCATATGAAAAGCACACAAGAGGATGGTCAATGTCAACACCCCTCAATGCAAATTATAGCCACAGGTAACCTAACTTGAGAGGTGAAAAGTATAAAAACTGACAATACCAAGTATTAGAAAGAATGTGAGTTCATTTGGAACTCTCATACACTGCTGTTTGAAGTGAAAATAGAACAGCCACTTGAAAACATTTTTGCAGTATCTCATAAAGATAATATACACTAAGCATGTGGTCCTCCTGGAGAGGTACAAATAAAAGGTATTTACCCAAATTAAGTGAAAACATGCATCCACACAAACACTTGTATACAAATTTTCATAGCAGCATTATTCATAATAGCCAAAAATTTTAAATACTCCCAAAGCCCTTCACAGATAAATGGATAAATTGTCGCACATTCGTACAATGGAGTTCTAACAAGCAATAAAAAGGAAAAAGTAACTGATACATGTGGCAACATAATAAATGTCAAAAACATCATGCTAAATGAAACAAGCCACACCCAAAGATTACACACTGCATGATTGCAATTATTTGAAATTCTAAAAGTGGGAAAAACCAAGTACATTTAGAGAAAATTAATGCTGCCTCAGGCTATGACTAAAAGGGGAAAGTTGACTACAAAACGGAAGTTCTTTGGGGAGTAATAGAAATGTCCTATAATCTTGATTGTGGTGGCATTTACACAATTATACATTTGTCAAACTCACTGAACTATTCTTTCAATTTGATATTGAGAAACCTGTCTTTGAGACTCAAATTTGCCATTTGTTAGTGCGTGCATTTAGACAAGACTACTTAATCTCTCTGAGACTCAATTTCCTAATCTTTAACATAGGAACAATAATGTTTATATCTTATTTTTCTTTTGTTTCAAGAGGCTAATAGTCAACAAAGCTTTAGGGTTTCTATGATGACCAAAATTCTAATGAAACAAAATATATTAATGTGCTTTATAAGTTGTGTAGTACTGTTACAGTATAAAGGATTATAATTATACACTTTTTCCGATAGCTTATTAAATCCAATATTTGATGTCTAACAAAAATACAATAAAAAGAAAATATAAAAAAATTCATTGAACTATATACTTAAAATGTGTAGATTTCTTTGTACATAAATTATACTTCAATAAATTTGAAAAGAAAAGAGTCTTGTAGATCTTGAGAAGCTGGAGTGACACATGACATATTACAAATGGTAAGATTTCCACGGAGGCAGGAGGAATCTATGTTCTCATATTTTGTGAAGTCTGTGTGAGATGTGATGTGATCCCAATAATCCCACTGGGTACTTATCCAAGAAAAATGAAGTAAGTATTCCGAAGAGGTATCTATGCCCCCATGTTCATTGCAGCACTATTCATGACAGCCAAGATGAAGAAACAACCTAAGCATCCATTGATGGAGGAATGGATAAAGAAAATGTGATCTCATACACACACACACACACACACACAGCGAGAAATATTATTCAGCCAATAAAAAGAAAATCCTGCCATTTGTTATAACATGGATGAACTGGAGGATATTGTGCTAAGTGAAATAAACCACACACAGAAAGACAAAAGATGTATGATAACACTTACATGTGGAATCTAAAAAAATTGAACTCGGATAGGAACAGTGGCTCACGCCTGTCATCCCAGCACTTTGGGAGGCCAAGGCAGGTGGATCATTTCAGGTCAGGGGTTCAAGACCAGCCTGGCCAACATGGTGAGAACTAGTTTCTACTAAAATACAAAAATTAGCTGGGCGTGGTGGCGGGTGCCTGTAGTCCCAGCTACTGGGGAGGCTGAGGCAGGAGAGTTGCTTGAAGCCGGGAGGCAGAGGTTGCAGTGAGCCAAGATCGCACCACTGCACTCCAGCCTGTGTGACAGAGTGAGACCGTGTATCAAAAAAATAAAAAAACTGAACCCATAGAAGCAGAGAATAGAATGGTGGTTGCCATGGGCTGGAGGGTGGGAAGTGGAGAGACAGCCAAATTGTACAAACTTTCTGTCATAAGATGAATACATTCTGGAGATCTAATGTAGATTATGGTGACTATAGTTAATAATACTGTACTGTATACTTGAAATTTGCTTAGAGATTAGATCTTAAGTGTCCTGACCCTCCCCGCTCCCCCTACACACAGTAACGATGTGAGATGATGGATGTGTTAATTTGACTGTGGTAATAATTTCACAATTTGGTTTGATTTATATATAATCACATTGTGCACATTAAATATATGTTATTTTATTTGTGCCTCAGTAAAGCTGGAAAAAATAAAATCAAAATAAAGAAATTTTTTTAATAATGCTATTCAGCAAAGAACAAGGATGTTAAGAGTTTTAAGCTATCTTTAATATGTCATTAACTAGGCCAACTAAAGCAAATTAAGCACATATTCTGCTTTGTTTCATTTAATAGCACTGTCTTCCTACAGGAGCTATGAATTTATTATCAGAGTTTATTATCAAACTTATTGTTTTGCTTTCGATTTTTAAAAAGTGAAAGATGTATACAATCTGAAGAGTAATCAGAGTATATTGTTTCTGATTTTTAAAAGCTATCTTAATTTATTAGCATTAACCCCAGTGACAAATTAAGCCATGTACAGATACTTCATCTTTTATCTTATGTTGCCATTTTTCCCGATAGAGAGTGCATTCTGTTCAGACAAAGTATGTTATATTTATACATGTTACCAAGAATTTCACAAACTGGGAGAGAGTACATGTCCAGTAAGATTTAGCTAATGAAGAATAAGTTAATGAATAAATGGACAGATGAACGAATCAGCCATTTTAAAGAGATATTAGTTTACTGTTCAATGTGACAAGAATGCAGACCTACAGGATAAATTATATAATTTAGTGTCTTTAAAAAGTGAACTTCAACCAAAAAATTATGACATATCCTTTACCATATAATAAATGGTGTTATTCATTATGTTTACTATTTTTCTTTGCTGTGACTATTTTTAGCTTCATTTAAGGTTTATTTAATAACCAAAAACTTCTTCAGCCTACATCTTTGCAATATTGCCCTTCTCTTCCTATACATATCAATGGTCAGTTCATAATTTAGCACATTGTCAGAAATATTGCCAATATTTTTTAAATAATCTCCTCATAATTATTCACACACACATTTATTTATGTTGAAACCACAGTCCACAATTTTCATGGAAATAAATATAGAATTGTAAAAGAACAAAATGGTACTAATCAAAACCTTTATCTCAACATAATATTTCAGAACTAAATATTAAACAGAGCAACAAATGGGGGAACTGAACTATTCCATGTTTTGTGAGCTGTTAGATGAAACACAAATCACAAAGAAGCAGGGAAACAACCTTTCAAAATGGATAAGACCCTAGGAAAAACAACAGCCAACATGATTTCCCTGTCACATCCCCCATTCCCACCCCATTAGTCTCTTCACTGCCCCTCTTACATCCTTGTTTCTGAAAGTGTAGATTAGAGGGTTAAGACTAGGTGTGACAACAGTGTAAAAGAGGGCAATGAACTTGCCTTGATCTTGAGAATTTTCTGATGGTGGCTGGAGATACATGCACATGACTGGAATGAAAAAGAGAGATACAACCATAAGATGGGCTCCACATGTCCTAAGCACTTTCTGAAGCCCAGTGGTTGATTGCATGCTCAGTACAGCCCGGGCAATGGCACCATAGGAAGTGAGGATGAGGATGAGAGGTATGAGAACAAAAATGGAGCTCATGACCATGAGGGTCAGCTCATTTGCCTAGGTATCAACACATGATAATCGCAGAAGTGCTGGAGCTTCACAGAAGAAGTGATCCACTAGGCGATGTCTACATAGGGGTATCCAGAAAGTAAAGGAGGAATGAAGTGCTGAGGTTGTAAAACCACTTACCCAAGAAGCCGCAGCCAACAAGCGGCAGAAACGAGGGTGCATGAGGACAGTGTAATGCAAAGGTCTACACACAGCTGCATAACGATCATAGGACATCACCACCAGTAGGACACACTCTGCGGTTCCCAGTGCGAGAACAAAGTAAAGTTGAACTGTACAACCAGCATAAGAGATGGTCTTTTCCGGGCCCCAGAGATTCACCAGCAACTGAGGGATAGAGCTGGTGGTGTAGCAGAGATCCAGAAATGAGAGATTTGAAAGGAAGAAGTACATGGGAGTGTGGAGATGGGAGTCCAGGTATGACAGGATGATGATGAACAGGTTTCCTATCAGTGTTATCAAGTAGAAGATCAAGATAACCACAAAGAGAACTACTTCCAGATGAGGCCAGTTAGAAAATCCAAGTAGAATAAAGAAGTCTTCAAAACTTGCATTTTTTTTCATCAACATTCTTATTTTTCCTGTACCTAAAGAAAGAATCGCATAAACTCAAAGTCTGTCCATGCATTGCCAACTGCTCACTTGCAAACAGATTGGAGAAAAAAGTATCCCAATTCCAGATAGTGTGCACCATTATGGCAGTAGAATTTTTATACAGTTTCCTTTGTATGCTTCATTGAGATATTTGTCCAGCTGTGGATACAAGTAATAGCTTTTCAAGTTACTGAGTTCTTTTATATACATCCTTGAGTTAACATTTGGATAAATGAAGACTAAGATATTCCATAATCAGAAAGACAATATTTAAGAAAATAATTTTTTATTTTAAAAAGTTAAATTGATTTTTTTTTGCATTTTCAGACTATTTCCAATTTTGCAGTTACAGAGAAAGGAATAACTGCAGCCATAATAATCTTACTTATAGATAGGAACTTCCCATGTTAAAGAGCAATTAGGTAGTCACTTTAAAATATTAATATGAACTGAAAAGAAATAATTGGATATGATTATAGAAAGAATTAAATGATATTCATTTATTTATGCTAGCAGTTTATTTCTAGACGAATAAAATAACATGCAAATGAAGGTTTAAACAGACATGCACACACACACCAACTTATAAAAATTCACAATATAAGCAAAGCTGATTAATAAAGTGAAATAGAGTAGAGATATCAGTGATAGAGTGCTTCCAAAGTTACATGGGGGTATAATTATTATTGGAAGACAGAAAGATTACAGAGTCTAACAAAAACACCGGGAGGTGTAAGAGAGAAAGGAAGAGTGCTTTGAGGCACAACAGTGAAGAGGAGGTCAGAATGTGGCATTTGAAATTGAAAGAATGTATAACACAGGATTGTTAGACAGGGACAAGAAGACTTAAATGTGGTTTCTAAAAAATTTTATATGCTTTAGGCCAATAACTGAACTATACTTTAAATTCTGAGTCACAACTTATAATTTGTATTTCTGGGTTTTCTTCAATATTCCTAAATAGCATTGCCATCCCCCTTCTGCTCCCCTCCTGCCACAGCCAACTCTTCCTCTCATACTCTCTGATAAAATATGACAAAAGACAAATTTATTTACACCCAACTCACCTTCAGTGTTTTGAAAAACTTTTAACAACTCAAATATTCTAATCTTGACTCTTGAAAAAGATGTAAGGGTTTGCCTAATTAGTTGAGTTACAGCTGGAGAGCTAGGAACGTTGAACTTGGGCCAAGTCTGTGCAGATGCTCCAGACAGGTACAAAGATATCTGTACACTTTTCCATATTGTTGATAATGAAATGATCATTACCGTTTGAGAAATCATGGAAAAATTGCAAGAATTTTTTTAAAAATTTCGCTAGGTTGAAAGGTAATATTCTGTAAGATACTTGAACTCAAATGTTGTGGATACTTTTGCTAATGCAGGTATAATTTTCTTTCCTAATGCAGCTGCCTGACTTCCTTACTACAGTAATTAAAAGGTGAAATCTGATATTTTTCTGTTGTATAAACCATCTTTCAGCATTCTTCCAGAGTCGATAAAAAGGATAGGAAATAAGGGACAAAAAAAAAAAAAAACCCAGAACTCACGTAGAGAAAAGTTTGCAGCTTCGATTTTCTTCTTGGAGGAAAAGAGGGAAATGAAGACCCTATCAAATGTAGCTTTTATGAACTATGGAATAAAATATCTTCTCTCTTCTTTTAAATCAAACACTGTAGGGAAAATGGATGGCTGAGTGTCTCTTCTTTCCCCAATTATTACTAAGAGACATTTTCCCAATTCGTGTCATATTCATTCCTTTATACTATATCTGGTTTGTTTTCTTACTTTTTCATTGACTAGTAATAATTGTATATATGTATGGAGTACATTGTAATGTTTTGATATGTATATACATCATAGAATGATTATATTAAGCTAGTTAATGTACCTATCACCTCACACACATCATTTTTTTGTAGTAAGAACATTTAAAATCTACACTTCCTGCAATTTTGAAATACAGAAGCTGTACACCCCTTAAGAAGTGCGCCAACTTCTTTCAGTACTGACCTTCCTGTGTTTGTCCCTGTTCCCTGTCACTCTCTACCTGGCCTACGACCTCATCATGTATAAACTGATGAAGGGGCTCTCTGGTTGCCATGCAACCTAGAAACATCAACCTAATTGCCTTCTTATAACATTTTTGCCAATGTTTTAAATCTAACTATGGAGAACAGAGTCTGGAAATAACTGTGATTGTCATTGCTACAGAAAAGAGAGCCTGAGTTTGTCCAAAAGATCTGCTTTTTAGCAGAATGTGGGAATACTTTAGAGCATTCAAGGTATCAGGGGATGGACCCTTTATCCCAGAGTAAATGGAATCTTTATGGAACCAAAAAGAATAATGGGATACTCTTTCATTGACTGGGGCCTTTGGGAGTATAAATCCCAAAGTTGCAATTAATGCCCTTCAAGTTGTCCTGGTGTGGTGTTCTCAGTACAAAACTCTTCACAGAAATATCTTCAGTATGATGTTATAGTCTTACTGTGATGACAGTGAATTTATCACTTACAAATATGGGAAAAGATGCTGTGAGTTATATTTACAATAAAGGGAATGGGTTTTACTGAGCCATGTGATTTTTTTTCAGTTTTCCATGGGGCTAAGGGTAAAATTTACAAGACAACTGGAAAAAAGGAGTGATTTCAGAGCCATTCAACTGAAAAACTAGAATACATAAAGACTAAACTGTATATCTATTCCTTACTAATGACGTGCTCTTTGAGACTGACCTATATTATTTATGCCATCCCAGTTGTCTTTTAAATTCAATTCCAAGATTTTTCCTGCAAAAGGTTAAAAAATATCTTGTGTTTAAAATCTCCCCTTTCCCCATCCCCTACCCCCAAGGTAGCTATATTCTACTCTCCACTTGCATGAGTTTATCTTTTTTAGATTCCACATATGAGTGAGATCACGTGGTATTTGTCTTTCTGTGTCTGGCTTCTTTCACTTTGCATAATGTCCTGCAGGTTCATGAATGTTGTTGAAAAGACAGAATTTCCTTTTTTCTTTAAGGCTGGATAGTATTCCATTTTATATAGATAATGTGGCTCATATATATCACATTATATCCCTTTTATATATTTATCTGTTTATCCATTGATGGGCATTTAAGTTCCTTCCATATCTCAGCTATTGTGAATAATGCTACAATGAACATGGTAGTGCAAATATCTGTAGTGAATTCTTATGATTTTATGTTGCCTCAGTGTTTATTTTCAATATAAGTTGAACTTTCTCATACCAGAAGCAGGGCTTAGTCACCCTTAACACAATTTCGAGTTCTCCTCTCCCAGTTTCTTCAGGTGGTCAATCCAGATATTTGGCCTCTTGGTTTCCACCTTCCTGTGGAGCACCTAGATACAACCTGTTTGACTTATCCCACTGATCCCCACACCCCACATGGACTGCAGACTTGCAGTAGTGAACACCTCTCAATACAACATAACTCCCAAGAACTCATGCCTGCTTGCTTTAAACCCAGCAATCAGTTACTCCCTGCTTAGGAAATGCTGTGTACCCCAGTAAAGGCTTCGGCCTTCTCGGCTGTCACTCACTCTCCCTTGCTACCCACCCACTGGTTGAGCATGCATGTCTCTGAGGGCTGCCCCTTCTCCCGTTAGGCCTGTGAGGAAAGTTTCCTTCTTCTCTCTGGATCTTTAAGTAATAAAACTACTTCTATTACGTGTTTTTTTTTACTTGCGTCTCGCGTGACTGACATACGTGAAATTAACTTCTTTTCTGGACAAGGCTCTCTTAAAGAGTGGTTATCTTGGTAGGAATGAACTGGACACACTAGTCAGACAAGAGCCACAAGGGTGTCTGCCAGTGAAAATGAGTTTCCAGTGAGAGGGACACCTGGTCATAAATAGGACAATTAGGCATTAGCTCTCCATCAGGATATAGAAGTATTCCACGAAAAAAACACTGAAAACATCCACAACCACAACCACCTCCACTGGAGCCCATCAGAGCAGGGCTAGAGTTTCTGGCTCCTCTTCAAAGAGAGACGTTAAGACCAAATTAGAGGAAAATCTACCAATATATTTTTAACATATTAATTTCAATCTCTTTGGCTATGTACTCAGAAATATAGTTGCTGGATCATATGGTAATTCTATCTTTTTTTGAGGAACCTCCATGCTGATTTCAATAATGGCTGTATTAATTTACATTACTACCATTAGTATATAAGGATTCCCTTCTCCACATCCTTGCTAATACTTATTAACTCTTATTTTATTGATATAGCCATTCTAACAGGTATGAGGTGATATCTTATTGTGGTTTTAATTTGTATTTCCTTGATGTTGAGAAATTTTGTTATGTATCTGTTAGTCTTTTATGTCATCTTTTGAAAGATGTCCATTAAGTGTTTTGCTCAGTTTTAAAAGGGGTTCTTTGTTTTCTTGCTAACAAATTTAAGTTGTTTGCATTTCTTACATATTTTGGATATTAGCCATGTATGGTTTGTAAATATTTTCTCCCAGTCCATGGGTTGTCTCTTCAATCCGTTATTTACTTTGTTATACAGAAGGTTTTTGGTTTGAGGTAATCCCATTTGTCTATTTCTGCTTTGGTTTCCTGTGCTATTGAGATCATCACCAATAAATTATTGCCAAGATTAATTTCAAGAACATTTTTCCCTATGTTTTCTTCTAGTAATTTTACATTTTCTGGTCACACATTTAAATCTTTAAACCATTTTTAGAGGATTTTTGCATATGGTGTGAAATAAGGTTTCAATTTCATTGTTCTGTATTTGGGTATTTGATTTTCCCAGCATCATTTATTAAAGATACTGCCCTTTCTCCATAGTGTGTTCATTCTTGGCATCTTTGGCAAAAATCAGTTAACCACAAATGCATGAGTTTATCTCTGGGCTCTCTATCACATTACATTGGTCCGTGTGTCTGTTGTTATGCCACTACCTTTCTGTTTTGAATACTATAACTGTGTAATATATTTTGAAACAGGTAGTGTGATGCCTCCAGCTTTGCTCTTTTTGCTCAAAAGTGCTTCAGCTACTTAGGGGTTTTTGTCATTCCATATGAATTTTTAAATTGCTTTTTCTATTTCTGTGAAACAAAAAAGTCATTGAACTTTTATAGAAATTGCACTGAATCTGTGTATCACTTTAGGTAGTACACATATTTTAATAATATTAATTCTTCCAAACCATGAATGCAAAATCCATCATATTCTGGGTTTTTGTTTGGTAGAAGACTTTTATTACTGATTCAACCTCCTTACTCATTATTAGTCTGTTCAGATTTTCTGTTTTTTTCATGATTCATTTTTGTTATGTTTCTAGAAATTTAACCATTTCTTCTAGGTTACCCTATTCGTTGGTGTAAAATTGTTCATAGTATTCTTTTATGAGCTTTTGTACTTCTGTAGTATCAATTGTAATGTCTCCTCTTTCATTTTTGACTTTATTAGAGTCTTCTTTTCTTCTTAGTTGGTCTACTCAAGTTTTGCCAATTGTTTTTATCTTTTCAAAAATTCAAGTCTTAGTTTTGTGAATGCATTCTATTGTTTTCTAGCTTCTTATTTATTTCTGCTCTGATCTTTGTTATTTCCTTCCTTCTGCTAACTTTGGGATTAGTTTGCTCTTCTCTTTTTCTGGTTTCTTGAAATGTAACATTAGGTTGTTTGGGATCTTTCTTCTTTTTTAATATAGGCATTTATTACTACAAACATTCCTCTTGCTAATATCTTCTTTTGCTACATGCCATAAGTTGTGGTATGTTGTGTTTTCATTTTCATCTGTCTTAAGATTTTTTTTAATTTTGCTTTTGATTTTTTATTTAACCCATTGTTTATTCAGGAGCATGTTGTTTAATTTCCACGTTTGTAAATATTTTAAATTTTCTCCTATTATTCACTTCTACTTTCATAACTTTGTGGTCAGAAAAGATACTTGATATGATTTCGATCTTCTTAAAACTGTGGAGACTTATTTTGTTCCCTAATATTTGATCCTGGATAATGTCCCATTTGCACTTGAGAAGAATGAGTATTCTGTTGCTGTTGGATGGAATGTTCTATATATGTCTGTTAGGTCCATTTGATCTAATGTGCGTTTCAAGTCCAGTGTTTCCTTATTGATTTCTGTCTAGATGACATGTTCATTGTTGAAAGTGAAGTGTTGAAAAACCCTGCTATTACTGTATTGCAGTCTGTTTCTTTTTAGGTCTATTAATACTTTCTTTATACATTTAGATGATCTAGTATTAGGTGTATATATATTTACAATTGTTACGTCCTTTTGATGAATTGACCCTTTTATCATGTAATGACTTTCTCTGTCTCTTTTTACAGTTTTGGACTTAAAGTCTGTCTAATATAAGTAGAGCTACCCCTGCTGTCTTTTGGTTTCTACTTGCATGAAATATTTTTTTCAGTCAATGTGTGTTCTTTAAGTTAAAGTTAGCCTCTTACAGGCAGCCTATGTTTGAGTATTGTTTTTCAGTTTTTTCCCAAAGCAAATCATTTTAGTAGGTTGTCAAATATACAATTATTGGAAATATCTAAATATTACCTGTAAAAATCAGCATATCACATTAGATAATTCTATAAAGTAAGAAAACACAAATCACACATTGCCAATAACCGCTGCAGTCCAAGAATATCCTCCTGTCAATAGTACAAATTACAAACACATTTTTAAAACTAAAGATGTTATTTAGACATTTAAACCAAAGTAACCATGACTAGCCTAAATACATTCATTCATCAAGTACAATAAATTTAGCATTGCTACTTACAGTCACTAATAACACAATTTTAGGTGCAATTTTACCTAAAATTTCATAAATTTTCCAATACAGTTCCAATAGTAAAGTGTCTTTGTGCATGCCATTTCCATTTATATGTGGGTGCATCATATATCAGACTTAAGGCTATTTCACCTCATTATTAAATTGTTCATAAATATATAAAGAAAGTGAACACCAGGCCAAAATTTAATCCCAATGATAAAAAAATATATATATATATATAATATATATAAAATATATATATTATTAAAAAGTCAGGAAACAACTGTGAGCCAAAATAAACCTTTTTTCTTTGTAAATTACCCAGTCTTAGGTATTCCTTTATAGCAATGCAAATGGATGAATGCAGAAACAAAGGATCGGTCTGCATTTCTTAACTTCAGAAACTACAGTCTTTGTAGTTTCCTTTGTAGTACCTTTGTAAAGACGAAGATCTTTAAATAGTTTAGTGCTTAGTGTCCTTGTTAAAGTATAACGTTATATAATGAACACCGGCTGATAAATTATTGATGCATTAACTGGCAACATTTCAAAAAAAATTCAAACTCGAAATCTCAGTTTAGAATCTTCCAAGTGAATGAGAACCCCTAACTCTGTTCAGGTCAAATGTTGCCCCCTCACAGAAACTGACTGACCATGCTGTCTAAAGTAACAGCCTCAGCTAATTTTGATTCTCTTACCCTGCTTTCTTTTTCTTCATAGCATTTATCACTATCTGACATTGTATTATATATCTATTTACTTATTATTAGTTTTCTATCTCCTTACTAGTATGTAAGCTTCATTAGAACAGAGACTTTATTTCTTTTGATTATCAATATATCTCCTGTGCACATGACAGTGCCTGACACTTATCACCATGACATAAAGATTTATTGAGTAAATGATTAAATGGTTTGTTTCCATGTTCATGTTCCAACCAGACACATAGGCAGGTATTGTGGCTTATCTCTGAAGTCCTTGGCACTGGCTGGCTGGCATAGAACCTTGCAAACAATGAATAAATAAATTACCCTGATCGATCAGTGTGCCTGGATAGAGAAGACATGTAGCAATGCTGCACCCCTGGATGTGCTATTAATACAATTATACAGCATGGAATACTATGTAGCCATAAAAAAGAATGAGTTCACGTCCTTTGCAGGGATACGGATGAAGCTGGAAGCCATCATTCTCAGCAAACTAACACAGGAACAGAAAACCAAACACCTCATGTTCTCACTCATAAGTGAGAGTTGAACAATGAGCACACATGGACACAGGGAGGGGAACTTTACACACCGGGGCCTGTCAGGGGGTGGGGGGCAAGGGGAGGGAGAGCATTAGGACAAATACCTAATGCATGCAGGGCTTAAAGATGACAGGTTGATAGGTGCAGCAAACCATTATGGCACATGTATACCTATGTAACAAACCTGCACGTTCTACACATATATCCCAGAACTTAAAGTAAAATAAAAATAATAATAATTTATAAAATACACTTAAAATTTTTTTTTAACCAAGATTGTTCTCTTGAGGTTAACTTATTACTACTTTGAGTTGCCAGGAGTGATTGCACATTTCTTGGGAATCCCTAAGTCACCAAGAATAAAGACCACTTGTAATAACTAAGGCATATTCAACAATAAAATTCTAGAGATTCGGGATATTTGATATTTGCTTGTAACATTTCACTTTTTAGCTTTTATTCATTTAATAAATGTTTTCTTTATCATCTTGTATACTCATGAACAGTTTTAAGTGTCCATTCAAATCATTTCATTGGGAAAAAAAAAGTCAGGAAACAACAGATGTTGGCAATGCTGGGGAGAAATAGGAACACTTTTACACTGTTAGTGGAAATGTAAATTAGTTCAGCCATTGTGGAAGACAGTGTGGCGATTTCTCAAAGATCTAGAGCCAGAAATACTATTTAACCCAGCAATCACATTACTGGGTATATACTCAAGGGATTATAAATAATTCTACTATAAAGACACATGCACACATATGTTTATTGCAGCACCATTTACAACAGCTAAGACTTGGAACCAACCCAAATGCCCATCAGTGACAGACTGGATAAAGAAAATGTGGTACATATACACCATGTAGCCATAGAAAAGAATGAGTTCATGTCCTTTGCCGGGACATGGATGAAGCTGGAAACCATCATTCTCAGCAAACTAACACGGGAACAGAAATCCAAACACCACACGTTCTCACTCATAAGTGGGAGTTGAAAATAAGAACACGTGGACACAGGAAGGGGAACATCACACACTGGGGCCTGTTGAAGGGTGGCGGCACAGGGAGGAGAGCGTTAGGACAAATACCTAATGCATGAGGGGCTTAAAACCTAAATGACAGGTTGATAGGTGCAGCAAACCACCATGGCACATATATACCTATGTAACAATACTGCATGTTCTGCACATGTATCCCAGAACTTAAGGTAAAATTTTTTTAAAAAAGTAAAACCACAAAAAATAAAATAACTTTTCTATTATAATCCAAGCACAACAAATTGTATTTGAAAACTAATTACAAATATATATTACATATAGAAAGTATGTATATATGTCTATTAAACTTATATATAAATTATTAGCTACAACAGATGTCATATAGTTACAAAAATCACAGGCTAAGAAAATGTCCTAATTTAGAAAATGATCATATTCTACACAAAAAGAAAAATGAGGAAAAATAGATACATTAAAATACGAGCACATTAGTTTCCTTAAGATTATATCTAGGCTGATGCTCAATTCAATTACAACTTCTTTATTTTACTAAGATCTTAGGATAAGCACTTATTAAGTCACATATTAAGTCATAACTTGCATAAATCAGCTTTTTTTTTTTGGAGATGGAGTTTCGCTTTTGTTGCCCAGGCTGGAGGGCAATGACTTATCTTGTCTCCCCAGGTTCTAGCGATTCTCCTGTCCCGCCTCTGCCTCCCGAGTAGCTGAGATTACAAGCACCCACCACCATGCCCAGCTAATTTTTTGTATTTTTAGTAGACACTAGGTTTCACCATGTTGGCCAGGCTGGTCTTGAACTCCTGACCTCAGGTGATCCGTCCGCTTCGGCCTCCCAAAGTGCTGGGATTACAGGCGTGAGCCACCGCCCCAGCCCTCAGCTGCTTCTTTCAAAAACTATTCCCCCTATTGCAATTTCATGTAATTTCTGTGTGTTCTGACCCAGTGAATTAATGCTAACCTTAAATTTCAATGTGTATATTAATATGTTAAGTGACTTTGTATGACATAATTTTTAACCTACAGATCTCTGGTAGCTTTAGTTTACAAACACTTATTACTAAAATCAGTGAAAATAGAAATATCATTTTTCCCTATACGCCATCATAGGACTCCCTATTTGACCTTGCAACTATTTAAAAGGAATTTGGGGCTATAAGTTCATTAAACCTTGTGCTTTCCTAATTAAACAACTTTAAATTTATTTTTCATTGTTTATTTTTGTTACTCTAATCTTCACCCTAGTTTTAGAATTTGTGAACGACATATGTGGTAGTATTATGCAACCAGCCCAGTTAGGAATAGAGTTGACTTATTGACTCTCTGGACATAATGACCAATTAAACTTGAGGGACTCTAGAATCTCTAGGGCTAAAAAGAGGACACAGAATTGTGTGAGTGGTACTCCCTTAATAAATATTGGTTGGCTTTATTTAAAGGCATAACTTTCTTTCCATGACACTTCCAATGTTGTTGATGTCTATAAAGTCAACTTCTCGTTGTAGAAATCCACTAGGAACCTGGTGAGGAGAGCCCATGTCAGTCAAAAATGCCCCAATGACTGAAGACACACTAACTATACACATTTTCCTCTCCTCATAAGTATTTTTCTCACATGTTCTTGATGCAGTCCAGGTTTCATGCTAATTTCATTCTTGGTCAGTGGGCAAAAGGTAGTTGAGTTAGAATGTCGTAAAGATTGAAAATTCAAAAACTCAACTGCATTTATTAATCTGTCTTTGAACCAGACTTCCTTTGAAACACAGCACAAAGAAAGGCGTGAATATCTCTTGGACATTTAGAAAAAAGGTGAGTGGCGTCTAATACAGTGTATTATATTACCATGAGTGGGAAGGATCTCTCAAGAACATCTCACCTACATCCCTGCCTCTGAGTTGCATCATGTTAAATAATCAGAATGCCCAATTTGTTTCCTGGGAACTTTGAAATTAATATGAAGTATTTTCAGTGATTCCAAAAATCCTTCGTATCCTTTCACCCTTTTGAATGGTTTGCTCATTATATCTCCGTACATAAAAACGGTCAGTGGGATTTAAGATTTCTTTTGATTCATGTAGAAAATAGAAATAGGACAAAAAGTCAACGTGACAGTGGAATCAACATGTTCTTGTCAAGAGGTAAGTTCATTTTCTGATAACGTAAAAGAGAAATTGGCGCCATATAAAATATGAAGAAAATAAGAGAAATTATCAGTGCCATATAAAATGTGAAGAGAAGAGGACGTGAAAAAATAGGAGTAGAAAATAACAGCTACTGAATAGGGTCCTCTTTTATTCCATGCCCTTTAGATAACCAGATATCACCTACTACATTGATTTAACTTCCATTTACTGGAAAACTATGTACTCAGTATATTATGCTAGAAACAAAGACAAAGTGATAATATGAAATTCAATAATTTCATGTTATAATATTATGAAATTATAACAATCACTTGAACCACCAATAGTAAATTTTCTGTTTTCTCATATACAAGACAAGCTGAGATAATGATATAGTATTACTATTAATGACTTATTAGTGATTAGTATTAATGATACTGCTATTGATATCAAGCTCACATTCATTAAATGCTTAGTATGCTTGGGACAGGGTCCTAAGTTCAGATGTGTATACATTGTCTCACTTGAGCTTCACAATACTCTCTTTTTATCAAGTCAGAGATTGTTTTTTAATGTAGCACAAGAATGTTCATTCATTGCCCAGGATCACACAATCCAGTAATAAAACCCTGGCAGATTCTGGCTCCAGAGGCACTGTACCTAACAGCTAACCTTTAACAGTGATTTTTTTTAATGCTACTAAGTAGGAAGACAATGTGATACTTTCTTCTTGTTTTTATTTGTGTTTCTTCAATAATGAAAAAGTTATAATCTTTTATACTTTCACTGTCATTTTATGTTGTTTTCTTCCCCAAACTGCTTATTTATGTCCATTGCTCATTTTTTTCCATTGGACTTTTGATCTTTTTCTATTTATTATGTAATAATTATTTATATTTTAATATAATAACCATTTTTTCCATAAACATTGTATATTTTTCTATCTTGCCATTTATGTTTTATCTTTCTGTGTAGTCTTTTTCTGATATAAAAAATTGTATTAATGAGTAAAAATTGTATATATTTATAGTGTACAACATGATGTTTTGATATATGTGTACATTATAAAGTGGCTAAATCAAGTTATCTAATGTATGTATTACCTTACATATTTATCATTTTGTAAATTTACATGGACATTCAAAAAAGCCTAATCTCATATTCTCTTCTATTTTTCAACCAAAGGTGTATTACTGTTATTTGCCAAAAAATAATGTGTATCTATAGCTAAAAAAAATCATATATAATGGAAGAAGTTAAAAATCTCAAGGTCATCTCTGTTCATTTTCATTTATTCATTCCATTATCAAATTATACTTTATATATCAGTGTTTTTACTCTGGAAAAGTTATCTTATTCTGTGGTAAATTGTGTCAATACTTATTTTCTCTTCTCTCTTCAGTCTATCTTTCTATTTTTATGCTTGCAAATTCAAATGGTGTAAACCACCTCGATGACATTTCATTTAAACATGCAAAGTAGACTGAAGAAACTTAGGTGCACTTAGGTAATATAACTAAATAACTGATGACTTTTACAGACTGAAGAAAATCAACTTGAATATATGACTTTTGGTTTGTTTCTATTTTAATTTATGACCACTTTTGTGCTGTATGCAGTCATTCTTATTGTACTATCTGTGTATTTAGGGGGAAATACGGTATAAAAGAAAGAATGATCTTTAAATCCTAGGTGTTAGTCTTGACCTCACCAATAATGAGTGTGCAAATTATTTATTCTTACTGAATCACAGAAGCAATAAAATGCAAACCATGACTGTGAGGGGTTTGATGAGAATTACAAAGAATGTATTTCACACACTGAGCAGTTTCTGGCACATGTTAAGTAAAGCAACAATTATGTTATCAGTTTTGCTATTTTAATTAAGGTATTTGCAGATGGGGAGATGACATCTGTGGTCATTACTATATATCACAAGTAGCCATAATTTTATTACTAATACCCACGGTAGTTCTTTGTGGAAATGGACCTACATGCATGGCATTTAGGAGACAGACACAACTCAAAAAAACACGTAAAGATGTTACTAAAAGAAGCAAAATTTCTTTAGATCAATTGCAGATTTAGATTCAACTCTTATACCCTCTATATTACTCAGCATTTTCAGGCCAAATTTAAAATAATTGGAGTAAAAGTAATATTTCTTTCTAAACTGTTTATTAAGATAGGTTAGGAGGTAAGAAGAGGAGAGAACATAAAATGCATTGAGAACTCACAATTTTCCATGTGTTATGCATATGTTACATACTTTATGTCATTTAAATGTAATGATTTTCTTTAAAGTAATTTAAACACTACTGAAAACACAGGAACTACTTTTAAGCTTAAACATAACCATATTATACTTTACAAGGGCTTTATCCACTTGACTGTAAATTGTATTTGATGCTGAGCTATTCATTAAATTTAATTCAGCTCCAGTAAGAGTATTCAATAAACAAACATTGATTGCTTTCCTATCTTACATTTTTTTAGGAGTGCGAAATAAGTGAGTCATCATGAATTGGGAAAATGAGAGCTCCCCAAAAGAGTTTATACTACTTGGCTTCTCAGATAGGGCTTGGCTACAAATGCCCCTTTTTGTGGTCCTGTTAATATCATACACAATCACCATATTTGGCAATGTGTCCATCATGATGGTGTGCATTCTGGATCCCAAACTTCATACTCCCATGTATTTCTTTCTCACTAATCTCTCCATCTTAGATCTCTGCTATACCACAACTACAGTCCCTCATATGTTGGTAAATATTGGTTGCAACAAAAAGACCATCAGCTATGCTGGCTGTGTGGCCCACCTCATCATCTTCCTGGCCCTAGGTGCTACAGAGTGTCTCCTTCTGGCTGTTATGTCCTTTGACAGATATGTGGCTGTTTGCAGACCCCTCCACTATGTAGTCATCATGAATTATTGGTTCTGCCTAAGGATGGCAGCCTTCTCATGGCTCATTGGTTTCGGCAACTCAGTGCTGCAGTCTTCCTTGACTCTTAACATGCCACGCTGTGGTCACCAGGAAGTGGACCACTTTTTCTGTGAGGTGCCTGCACTTCTCAAGTTGTCATGTGCTGACACAAAGCCTATTGAGGCTGAGCTCTTCTTCTTTAGTGTACTAATTCTTCTAATTCCAGTGACATTGATCCTCATCTCCTATGGCTTCATAGCTCAAGCAGTATTAAAAATCAGGTCAGCAGAAGGACGGCAAAAAGCATTTGGGACATGTGGGTCCCACATGATTGTGGTGTCCCTCTTTTATGGAACAGCCATTTATATGTATCTTCAACCACCTTCATCCACCTCTAAGGACTGGGGAAAGATGGTTTCCCTCTTCTATGGAATCATCACATCCATGTTGAACTCCCTCATCTACAGCCTTAGAAATAAAGATATGAAGGAGGCCTTCAAGAGGCTGATGCCAAGAATCTTTTTCTGTAAGAAATAAGAAGTACTCCATTGTGATGAGAATCTTCTTAGTCTTTCCTTATCTTCAATGATGGTAATGACCTTTGAACTCATTTTCCTATTTTCCAGGCTCTGGTGATTTCACTAAATTCTGTCAACAATTAGAAAATCCTTCCTCTGTTGGCTGGGCGCGGTGGTTCACGCCTGTAATCCCAGTACTTTGTGGGGGCCAAGGTGGGCAGATCACATGAGGTCAGGAGTTCGAGACCAGCCTGGCCAACATGGCGAAACCCCATCTCTACTAAAAGTACAAAAAAATTAGCAGGGCATGGTGGTACACGCCTGTAATCCCAGATACTCAGGAGGCTGGGGCAAGAGAATCGCTTGAACCCAGGAGTCAGAAGTTGCAGTTAGCCCAGATCGCGCCACTCACTCCAGCGTGGGTGACAGAGTAGGAATCTGTCTCAGGAAAAAAAAAAAAAAAAAAAAAAAAAAAGGAAAGAAAGAAAAGTCTTCTTCTGTTTAGGAAGCAATGCTGAACCCATATGACATGTCTTCAAAGTTAGAAACTCCTTTCTTTTCAGAAGTTCCCCCAATGTACTCTGTTCCTTGAGACAAGTCATGTCAATTTCCTATCAACTTCAGGGTAGTCAGGAGACTTTGATGGATTGCCTTCCACTTGTATACTATTATTCTATAACCATCCTGTCTACGCCTTTAGTTAGGGATTTTAATATCCTTATAATTAAATTACCAGTTATTCCAAGCCAAAAATTATTCCATCAGAATCAAAGTCTTCAAACACTTTGAACCCTCTGATCTCTTGATAAAATTCATCATATGCACCTTTTCAGAACTGTTTTTGGTATGTAATTTGGCTTCAATCTAGCTGGCTTTGTTTTTGTTTTGTTTGAGAATGAATTTTACTCTTGTTGCCCAGGCTGGAATGCAATGGCACGATCTCAGCTCACTGCAACCTCCACCTCCTGGGTTCAAGTGATTCTCCTGCTTCAGCCTTCCAAGTAGCTGGGATTACGGATGCCCGCCACCATGCCCAGCTAATTTTTTGTATTTTTAGTAGAAACGGGGTTTCTTTGTGTTGGCC